>NC_000004.12:86042593-86194108 GCF_000001405.40 Homo sapiens
AAAATGCAAGCAAAAAGTTGTTATCAGCTTAAAGTAGCTTGTTATAACTATAAGATGTTTTTGTAATTCTCATGGTAACCACAAAGTAAAAATTTATGGTAGAGACAAAAAAGATACAAAGTAGGGAATCAAAGCATACCACCAGAGAAAATTATTTTATCAGAAAAAAAAGACAAAAAAAGAGGGGAAGAAATGAACAAAGAACCTACAAAACAACCAGAAAACAATGAGCTAAATGGCAGTATTAAGTCCTTACCTATTAATAATTACCTTGAATGCAAATTGATTAAATTTTCCAGTCACCTTGGATGTGAAGGGGGCTGAGGGAATAGAAAGAAAAGACTCCAAGGTATCTCATTATCCAGATGAAAACCTGGATAGAAAGTAGTGCCATGAATTGGAAGGAGGAAGCATAGATTTGGTGTAGAGAGGAGATATGGCCAGTTTAATATTTAATATGTTGATTTTGCAATGCCAATTTCAATTCCAGTGACTGTTAGATTTATACATCTGGAACTCAGGCCAGCTCTATGGGACGATGTGTAGAATTGAGCCATTTATGATAATTAAAATTAAGGCTGTGGTGGAAGATAAGACTCCCAGAGAGAAAAGAAATAAGGGCTATAAAGAAAAAATTTCTGAGATGCACAATTCTAAGGGAAGAGAGAACAACCCACATTGAGCAATGGAGGCTGCAGGAGAACAGGTGTGCTGCCACCACAGAAATTAACATGCAGGGGTGCAGAAAGGAAGGTGTTGTCAGCTTATTCAAATGGGCAAATACATGAGATACCCATTTTTTTGGACTTGGCACCTAAGAGGCCACTGGTGAATTTAGAGAAAGCAGTGTCAATGTTTAAAAAGTGAACTGGAGTAATTGTGAGTAAACAAGGACTAATGTTTTATAGAGACTTGGCTATAAAGCTATAAGTCATACTTCCATTGCTAAAGGTAGAAGTGTAGTTAAAAATAAAGGTTTGCTTTGATTCTTTGTTCTTTGAAATGAAAGAGACTAGAACATGTTTATTTGTAAGAAGTAATTGCCACTGGAAACTGAAACATAGGACACACACAGAGAAGGAAGAGACCCACATGCAGAAAACAAAGGCTATAAATAAAAGAGTACAGTGTCCTGGGTTTTCCTGGATCTTGTGTAAATGACTCCATCACAGCATTATCATGTTTTCTTCTCAACATCTTCATCATTCTACTACCATTCGTAGAAAGTGGATTTTCATATATTATCTCATTTAGTCTTTGTGACAAACCTCCTATTCCAAGTATGCAACTGAGGCACACAAAGATTTAAAAATCTATGAGTTAGTAGCAGAGGCCATATTTAAACCCAAATCTAACTGAATACAATGTCTGTGTTCTTTGCATTTTTCCACCCCAGGCTTATAGTTCCTACTAATTCAACCTATTGAAATATATTTTAACGTTTTATTAGGCAAACAAAGCAACAGAGAACAGCAGGGAAAAAGGCGACTTTATCTCTAGCTGACGGGGCTCTTGAAATGCTGTTAATCAGGATTCTAGATACAAATTTCCACGTCCACTCAGAGGGGCGAGAATGTGCAATATATTGTGATGCTGCCACCTTGTGGCAAGAAAAAATGAAAACATTAAGAGGTGCTTTGTGTGCATATTTATCATTTTCAATTAAATTGCTCTAGTTTATGGTTCAGCTACGGCTGCACATTGAAATCATCTGGGAGTTTTAAAAATACTGCTGCCTAGATCCCACCTCAGAGATTCTGATTTAATTGTTCTGGGGTGAGGCCTTGGTGTCAGGATATTTTTAAACTTCCCAAATGATTCTAACATGCAGCAAAGATTAAGACCTCTGCTCTAACCACTTATACAGTAGAGAAGCAAGTCTTGTCATTTGCCTAGTTATGTTTCATTTGTATAGACGCAAAAGAAAACATTCTAGAGAAAGTAGGTGATTTTCTCTCAATCTTTAATGGCATCTAGTTCTTGGTAGAATACAATGATTTCTGGACAGATATATCATATACTATGATTTTAAAGAACAGGACAAAGAAATTTGTGAATTGTAATCAAAGTGGACACAAGATTTGTGTCTCATAATCAAATGCAGTCCGTAGACTAAAGTGAGCAGGGAGAATCTCTGAGCCTCATAATGCGTCACAGGTTTTCTGAAAGGAACAATGGAAAGAGCACTGAAGCACCATTGACTCTGGCACTAGTAAGATGAGTGACCTTGAGCAAGTCACTCAGTTTGCAATGAAAGATTTTCATCTACTGCTTTATTCAAGAGAAACTAGTTCCAAATGTTCAACAAATATCATACCAGGTAATTCAACAAAACTTTCTTAAGTACTTGCAATGCGAAAAGCATGGAATTATAATGTGTTATAAATGGAAAGCACTAATGTTGCTTAGAGACATCATAGCATTAGGTGACCAGAGGAACCTTTGAAAGCTAGTAATGCAAATTTTAATTATGATCTGAACTGAGTGTAATTAGAAAGCTTAATTACATAATGCTCCAGTGGTTTGGCAAAGAAGTTGAATTCAGTTTTCTCTATTTTTCATTCTGTTCTGTAGTTTTCTCAGATTTATTTATTAGCTCTACACCATCAAAAAGTGTAATCATGTCTTGAAAATGAAATTTCTCTTTCCTGCTCCTTGGAAATTAAAATTTTCTATGGTTCTTTAACTGAAAAGTTTCAGTAATTGCACCACCAATCACCCAGTGCCTTGGTCAGGAATCTTTCTTTCTTCATTCGTTCATTTAACACATATTTATTAACCCTCTACCATATGATATTACTCATCTTTGAATTCCACCTCCCTTAAATTCCAAATTTAATTATTTACAATTCATGTCAATTATTAGCTTCTAAACATCTCTTGAATATTCTGCCCATGTCTACAGTGATTTAGATTACTACAGATCTATCCTCCTGCCTTCTAGCTCCCTTTTCTCAACTCCAGTCCCACACTGCAGACAGTGGCCCTTTGAAACTTCAAATCTGCTAATGCTATTGCCCCACTTCCTAGTGAATGGCTTCCCTTCACCCTAGGATAGCATGCATGGTACATGACAATGCTTGGGAACTCCTTCCTTATCTGGTCCCTGCTTACCAGCCCAAAATAATTTCTCACCCTTCTCCATTAAGTCACTCAGAAAGCTTAAAGCTTTGCAATTCTCTCCACCCTCTCTTGACCCTGGGATTTTTGCATATACCCTTTCTTCTGCTTGCCTTTCTTCACTTGGATAATTTCTTTTTTAGCCCTTCATGTTCCTGTTTGAAAATTAATCACTCCAAGCAGCCTTCTGTAACCCACATTACTGGGTTATTTTTATGTGTTTCCAATGTACAATAAGCTTAAAATTTGGAATACGTATCATCAACATTTACTTATTTATCTTCTCACTAGACCATGGGACAAAGAATTGAGAATAAAAGACCTAGGAATCCAACTTACAAGGGATGTGAAGGACCTCTTCAAGGAGAACTACAAACCACTGCTCTCTATTTGTCTGTTATTCGTGTATAAGAATGCTTGTGATTTTTGTACATTGATTTTGTATCCTGAGACTTTGCTGAAGTTGCTTATCAGCTTAAGGAGATTTTGGACTGAGATGATGGGGTTTTCTAAATATGCAATCATGTCATCTGCAAACAGGGACAATTTGACTTCCTGTCTTCCTATTTGAATACGCTTTATTTCTTTCTCTTGCCTGACTGCCCTGGCCAGAACTTCCAATACTATGTTGAATAGGAGTGGTGAGAGAGGGCATCCTTGTCTTGTGCTGGTTTTCAAAGGGAATGTTTCCAGCTTCTGCCCATTCAGTATGATATTTGCTATGGGTTTGTCATAAATAGCTGTTATTATTTTGAGATTTTGGGCTGAGACAATGGGGTTTTCTAGATATACAATTGAAAATCTAGAAGAAATGGAAGCACAGTATATAGTACATAGTAGATATCCAACAAGTATGAACCATTGATGAAGAACAATTATTTGCATTCAAAAATCTACGATATATTAACTCGGAAAAATTGGTCAGGTAAAGAGATGAAATAAATTATGACATGTCTGACATTACTCAAATAATTTTTAAAAAGTAGATTCCAGCTTTTGATATACACATATTAGCCACACAATCATGGGCAATGTGCTTAACATCCATTAACATCCTGAGCTTTAGTGTCTTCAATTCTAAACACAGATACATTCATTCAGCAAATATTGATTATATGACTACTAAGGGCCAGACAGTGTTCTAGGTAGTTGGGATACAGCAGTGCCCCAAAGAGTCACTGTCTCTCTTTTTACGCATCTTAAATTCTAGTTGATGAGACAGATAATAAAAAGAGATATATAATGTCAAACAGTGACACATAGAGAAAAAAGATTAAGAGGCTAGAGTGTAACAGAGTACTATTCTATTTTTTCTTTTTAGTTTTTTTCTTTTTGTTTTTGTTTTACTTTTTAAACTATTATTAGTATTATTTTTACAAACACTTGTACCAAGGGCTGACTTTCAATAGATCACAGCAAGGATCCCCTCTGCTACATATGAAACCCTGACCCAGAAGCAGGTCATCTACTTATGTTTTAGTGCCAGGTTACACACGAATGTGTGTTACATGACGGGCAAGGGGGCGGCCGAAGAGTACTATTTTAGAAAGGATGGTCATAAAAGGCTTCTTTGAGAAGGTAACATTTGAGCAGAGATTTGAATGAAGTAAAGGAGGGAGCAATGTGAATATCTGGAGGAAGAATGTCCCAGGCAGAAGGAAATACAATGCAAAGACCCTAAAGGGGGAGCTTGCTTGGTGTGGTAAGGAAACCGCAAGGATGCCATATACTGGTGCAGAGTGGAAAAGGGAAGCCTAAAGGTGATATCAGAAAAGTAGGCAGGAGCCAGACTAAGTAGAGCCATGTTTTCCAAACTGCAGTCATGAAAACAAATTGGTGTCATCACTAGCACCTTTTAGTGTAACTAAGAAGAGTAAAATGAGATAGAAAATATCAGTGTATGGTTTTTCTTTTGTGTGTGTGTACGTGTGTGTGTGCACGCACGTGCACTTGTACACGCATGCTGGGTTGCAATGTAAAACACCCTTCTTACTATGGGTTATGATAAAATTTGAAACAACACTGTGGTAGGGCCTTGCAAGCCATGATAAGTACTTTGAGTTTTGTTATAAATATGATAAGAAGCCATTGGAAGATGGGAAGGTGTTAGCTGAGGAATTATGTGAATGTAACGTGTTTTACATTTTAAAAGGAAAATTCTAGGCATTCTGCAGAATGGACCACAAGGGACAAGAGTGGTGCTGAGAGATAAGTCCCAGAATATTACATGGTCCAGGGTAGAAATGATGTTTGCATAGATGAAAGGATGAGAAGTGATCTGAGTCAAGGTATATTTAGAAAGTAAGTTCAGTTAAGAGTTGTTGAGGATAGTCATCATTTTCTAGAGTTTTTATGAGGCTTAAATAAGATTGGATATCAGAAAGGGTTTTATAAACACTAGAGAAGTGCTCAGCAGAGTACAGCTGAGTTCAATTCAAAGGGCATTTACTGACCATACACTATGCACCTGCCATTACTCTCACTGTTTTCTCTGCACTCGGTAGATAAAACTGAATTTCTGCTCCCAAGGAACTTTACAGCAGTAGAGTTGTGGAAGATAGACATAAAAATGAATCACTGCAGCATAATGCACAATATGATAATGGCATATGGAAGGTTCTAAAGAAAATGAGTTAACTTAAAATTCTGAGAAGCAGTAGCTTTTGTTGCAAGCCTTTCTTTTCATAGGTAAAAGATCACATTAGCCCCAAGGATATTCTGTAGGACAAATATGAGCTAAAAATGAACTAGAAAATAGCTCTAGGTGAAAAACACATCGAACACAGATATTGCTGAGTTAGTCTATTAAAGCCACATGTCATTTGCACTTTTGCCCTACAGTCACAAAACAAAAGCAAATGAACAAGGGAAAGAGGATCTTCAGCCCTCCTACATAAGTAACATGAATCAATAAGGAGTCATCCTGGAGACCACAGAAAACCACACTCTTCCAGTTAGCATCAATGAATAGCCCCAGGATACAAATCCACAGTGAATGAAGAAACATAGCTACAGAATTAGAAACATTATTAAGGAAAATTGATTTGAGTATACTTCACTAATGTTAGAGGGATAATATTATATTTTAGGTTGAAATGTAATAATTTTTTTAATTCCAAAGTGTCTATTAATTTTAAAATATACATACTTTTTGTTACAAATATTTATTTTTCCCCTTCATACCACTAATCTCTGTGAAAAAGTTTAGAATGTGACATAAAGGTTCTAGGTTAATGAAGTCTTTCAATCAAGCATAAAGACTTCTGCTAATCTAGTAAAAACCGCCCCTTCTACCTACATGGATTCAATATATTTGTTGCATTATATAAGAAAGCATTTGTGTACCACATTTACATATGAGATGTTTATCAGAAAGAAAGTGGTGCTCTGAGGAGAGGGAGATGGGGAACAGAATCACTTGAGAGTGAGGATTTATTTCCAATTAATTAACATGCCCACAAGAATCTGCCATACCCCACATGAAGAATCATTGCTTTAATATAGATTGATGAGTTGATAACGTTAATGAGTTGATGACTGTCTCTCAGGTATGTTGGGGAACAAAAAAGTTTGAGAAACAAATACAGTCATAAAGAACTATATTCTAATAATAAGGCGTTACCATTGCTCCTACTTTTTAATGTATTATATACATTATTATATAATACTTTTTAATGTATTTAATAAATATATCTCATAGTGGATTTTCTTAAAACAGAGCTTGCCTTTTCATTAAGTAATTACTCCAAGGAGTAATTTTAAAAGAAAATAAGTCTAACTGAGCTTTTGTGTTAACATGATAGGAACTGATAACATTTCCATTTTTCTTATGTCACATAGACTAAAACTGTTCAGTTTAAAATAGTTCAATTACCTCCATAAGCTTTAAGAAAACCTTCTTTAATAACATCCTATGTTTTCAAAGTTAATTGGGTACTTTCACATTTTTTTCCTTTAAAACATTATTAGACAGGACATTTCATGGGTAAAGATTAGTGATGCAATTATACCACCATCTCTGAATGTCATTCTTTCTTCATCTCCATTGCCATTGAAGTCCATTTTGTCATCTTTTATTTCAACTACTTCACTAGCTTCCTAAATCATCTTTCTACTATTTTATCACTTCATCAGTCAGAAAGAATGATCTACCTAAAACACGAATCCCATTGTGTTACTCCCTGATTAAAATCTGTTCCCCCAAGCCTGCAGCTTGGGTACCCTCTGGGAATGACTTAAAAGGTGTTTCCTGACCAGGACCCTGCTTACATTTCCAGCTGCATTTCTCACCATTCCCTTCCCTGCTCACAGTGAATTAACTCATAGTTCCCCAGGTGTGTCCTGGTTCATCTTCTCTCCTGGCCATTGAGCAGGCTGCTTCCTTTGCCTACCAGATTCTACTCTTCCACCTCCATTTCACTTGGTAACTCTTGCCCATCCTTTTGGTCCCATTTGAGGCTTTTCTTCCTCCTAAAAACCTCCTATGTCTGCTATAGGATGAGTTATGCCTTATTCCTTTGTGTTTCTATGGCACTAGTACTATGGTTATAGTATCTTACTTACTTACATATTAACTCTACTACAAACTACTAAATAACAGAAACTATGTCTTTTTATCATTAGAATTAGTCAATCTTCAATGGCAGCGTACACTTGAAGCTTAACAAAAGTTTAAGTGAATGAATGTGGTGGACCTGTCCAAGGTATGATGAGACTTTGAGTCCATGTCCTCTAATTGTTGACCCACAGTGGTTTCCACTGTGCTCTACTGTCTCCCAGTGCCATGACCTTGGTCTCCACACTCTGTAACTCTTGGTCCTCCTCCCATTGTCTGTCTACAGTCCTTTGCTTTGGGAAAGCTAGACTAAGTAAGGCAATATTTTAAATTAACTAATTGCAAGCCAAGTTTTTTGCCTGGATTTGAGCTTAGCCTTCCATTCTTGGGGGAGCTATTCATTACTTAAGAAAACCTACCTGTGACTATGCATGTAAGAATTCTGGCTAGGAATAAACTATTGTTCATGATTAAACAGGAATGGTGCAAGAGGCATGAGCAGGCCTACCTCAGAAAAAGAAGTGGTAACAGATTGCTGTACTATGAAAACAGCATTCTGGCATATATGTCCTGAAAGAAAGTCACCAAAAGTTCTTTACGCTAACTTAGTCAAAAACAACACATACCTTAGGTAAGAAATTTTCAGAAAAAGTGCTTGAGGGTTAGCTAATTTATCTCTCACTTTTTACAGAGGAACATCGAAGGAATTCAGCTTTCAAAATGCACCTAAAGATAGAAATCAGATTCTTCTTGGAATTAGAAACTGTGGGGAGCATCTTTTGATTGTTGATTGAACTCATGTTGTTTTACATACATTATATTCTCTTTCACAATATATTGTGGGTCATTATTCTACAAACAACCCTCTGAGTCTCATATGAAACCTGCAGCAAGTTATGGAAGTGGCTTTTATCATTCTTACAATTGCCCTACCATTAGAAAGGGACATAATAATTTTATTATAGCACATACTCCTGGAAAGACCATAAACTTTTAATAGACTTGTAAAAAGGGAGTGTAACCTTTTCAATATTCTGTCTCATCTATTCTACCTTCTCCTCACATATAACGAATGCCCTAGGGCCTAAGTCATGGATCTACACTTGGGAAGAAAATGTTGAGATTCAGCCTTTTCCCTGAATCTGAAGGTTACCATGATTTAGCACCCAGGAATAGTTTCTGCCTATCCTTTTTCTGGTTCTTTTGCAGCTCTGCAACTTCCAGACTTGTGGTCTATGTAGAGTTGTGATGACATTCCGACTTCATGTCTATAGCTTTCATTTAGGGATTTTTAAATGTCAGCATAAACATCCTACAGCGTTTAAAGTTGTCTTCACATCACCACACATATTCATTTTCAGCATCATTAATGATTACACTTTCTGATTATTTTCCTTTCTCTGCTAGACTGTCAAACTTCTTAGTTTACTTCCTAATATTGATAGCATCACCAGCTCTAAGCATGACTTCTCAAACAAGATGTTTGGTTAATTTTCTGTGTGTTTTTGTTGTTGTTCATTTGATCGTCTCAACTTTTTGTTGCAATGCACAACATAACCACCTTCTTAGATCATGGACAAAGAAACAAACAAAAATCTTTGGAGACAAACATGGCAGAGGAAAATAAATATCGCAAAGGAAGTGAGTGCTTCCGAAAAACAAAGTGGAAACAAAGTATGAGGAACCCCTGAAAGCCTCACAGCATAAGAAAAGAACTAGCTACTTGAAGAGTAGACAGTGGCTATTAATTTCTATTTCTTGAAAAAAAAATACCATTTTAAAATTGTCAGGGACCACAAGAAACTGTTTTTATAATGTTAATAGTTTTTTTAAATCACAATAATAAAAATTGAAAGCATAATATTTTACATTTATCAGTTACTTCTGCCTCCACCACTTTCCTTAAAAAAAGTAGGACTTTTACAGATGAAAGAGCATTTTAATACAAATTTTAAAATTACCCGAAGACAATAAATTATTTCCTAAAACGTGTATTAAATCTTTTTGTTATGTCTATAAATGATAATCTAGTCTAAGAGTAACTTATCAGCATTTTTGCAGTCCCCTCCCCCCATCCACTGAAAACTTTCTTTACTAGACTCATGATTTTCAAAATTTTAAGAATTAAATTTGGAGTAAAGGAACTCCGAAGATCTGAAAAAGCCTGTGAACTGGATGTCCAGAAAGATGTAAATACATAATTATTGATAGAAAATTTTGGGATGTTTTTCAAAAGCCCCCAGAAGTTCCTCTAAGGAACCCTTAGGGGTCATAGGAAAGCTCAGTGCTGGGTAGTGAGCTCCTAAGAGCAGAGAAATGCCCTCCTGTGTGCATCTCTAGATCTGGTACAGTTTCAGCATTCATAGGGGTGCTATAAACATTTGTTACGTTGAATCATGGAGGATAAGTATGTATATACTCGGGTGTTGTTGTTGCTGTTGTTTGAGATAGAGTCTTCCTCTGTCACCTAGGCTGGAGTGCTGTGGTGCAATCTTGGTTCACTGCAAACTCCGCCTCCCAGGTTTAAGCCATTCTCCCACCACAGCCTCCCAAGTAGCTAGTGTAAGCCACCATGCCTGGCTAATTTTTGTATCTTTAGTAGAGACGGGATTTCGCTATGCTGCCCAGGCTGGTCTCAAACTCCTGAGTTCAAGTGATCCACCCGCCTTGGCCTCCCAAAGTGCTAGGATTACAGGCCTGAGCCACTGTGCCTGGAGGGTATTTTTTTTTTAAAAAGAAGAATGTAGTATTTAAAAGTTCATCATGCAATTAAACCTCATTGATTTTGAGAGCAAAGGAGCAAAGAAAAATCTGGCAAATAGCAAACCTACTACTTAAAGTAAACCTTTAGGAACTTAAGCAGGGCTGCTCACCAAATAATTCTGCTGGGTACAGAACTGATGTGGCCTTTAAATTACAGAGTTTATGTATAATAATTAACATCCAGGCCTTGCAGAAAACAATATTACCTCTGCAGAGCATATCATTTTCTTTATTGATAAATGCTCTTTACTGAAAACACAATGATATGAGGATGGGTAGGAGTGCCTTAGAGCTCTCCTTGAACATGTATACACAGTGGTTAAGAGGAGATTCTTTGATGATGGACAAAAATTCAAGTCTAGTTTGATTGTTTTAGCAACATTACAGGTAAGCAAACAAGGCAGGAATGCAAATTACCAAAAGAGTTATGCTTCCTAGAGATTCCCCAATTTTGTAGCCTCTACTTATCTCGAGGCAAAGCTGTCTGACAGAGATTCTGTCTTCTGACATACTCCTATTCTTTTCTCTTTTTTATTCTTCCTCTTAGTATAAAATTTGGTAAATTTTAGTTAACAGAACATCTCACAAGTTCCCACCCTGACTTCTTTGCTTATTTCATAGAAGGAATCCTAAAAAAGAAAAATATATATTTTTTTCTCCCACAGTTTATGGATTACATCCTATGCAGATGACACGTTGGATAATCTCTTTTTTTCCAGGATGAAACATATTAAGAAAATAAAATACACTCTCACAAATGCCCACTACCTCAAGATAAATAGGTAGATCTCACAATATCTCAGATATCACCTAGGAGAGAAGAAATAAAATCAAGTATTTGGAAGAACCTGACAGAATACCTTAGCCATACCTCAGCCTTTCAGAGAGCAACAGGCATGAAATGTTTTAGAAAAATAATTTCTGTTCCCTTCCCCCTTTTCATAAAGTATTCTCTCTCAGTGATCCATTCAAAAGATTAATAGCACTCATGGTCTAAAGTGTTCAAGATAAAACATGAAAACAAAAACCAAAGCATGGATTCTACTAGACAACAAAACATGTCTCTCCTAAGAATGAACAATTCAACCATTCCAGCTTTTCACACCTGAGAATCTTGGATTCAGTGGATTCTGAATATCCCAATGAATTAAAATTAAGATGAACCTTTCTCTTCAGGAATAGAACTTGCTAAAATTAGAGATAAATGAGTTACATATTTTCAGTGAAATACATATTCCTATTATAAGTCATATAGGGAGTGAGGCTCCTAAAAGCAGGTGGCTAACTCTATCTACAACAAACATTTTGACAAGCTCCCACCAACATAATACATGGCATCAAAACAATCCGAAGGCAATTCAAACGATAGCTTCACGTTAAGCAGCTGAGGCACTGGGCAAGCAAAATCTAATGAAGCTATATTTTCTCTGGAAGGCAATTAGTAAACTGCTCATATTTTGCTGCTGAAAGAATACATCAGCATGAACAGATGGAAATTTAGAACTCCACAAATGGAATTACAGACATTGATTTAACTTTCCCCAAGCAAATGAAAACCACAAAATACGAATTGCTCTTTCTATAATTAAGCACATAATTAGAGTGCATCAGATTCATATCCATTGTAGCTCATATTTCTTCCTCCTCATTTCTAAATTTATATATATTCTGAGTCTAACAAACCTACTTAGAGTTCAACTCCACACTGAAAGAGTCTTCTATGACAGATAGATGGTACTAAACTATTTCTCAAATTAAGCCTGCCATGGGTCACACTAGCTTTTTCACAGCATGACACATGCGGCAATAATAAGAAATCCAAAGACTCAAAGAGGTAGTCCTTGTGGCAGGACAGATGGAGAGAACAGCTGAGGGAGGAATTCAGCCAGTTTATTAACTCCATGTGAGTAGAACAAATCATATTTAAAAGAATTCATAAGGACATCTGGTCGAAAAACAGAATTTAAATGATGGCAGTTTTAGAATGGAGAAAAGAGAATCATGATGTCTCACAGTACAATATCACTGAGTTACCTCTTTGTTTTTCTACTTCCAGGAAACAAAAGGTCACCAGTGACCTGCACACAGATTATAGACCAAACTGGTGATGGGCACTTGGGAAATACTTGGACTAATTGTCAAGTTTAAAATATACAAGAAATACTAAAACATATTATGGAAATAAAATCACTAACATGCTAAACATTACAGATACTTGAAATTATTCACATTGTTAATTATTCTTTTCCTCATTCTAGGATACAGTAGTTTGTCTTACTTGTGAAAATATTTAGGGGAACTTAGATAAAATTTTTGTTTGATATTCCTAAAATGCTAGAAATGACCTCAGAAATCTTTTTGAGAATAAGCCCTTTATAAAAACCTCCAAATAGGTCTTTCCTGAGAAAACTCAATTGATGTGCTTTATCAAGTATAATAGTATGTTTCATTTATAAGCTTTCCAAGTTGAAATCCAAAGTAATAAGCATGTTTCAAAAAAAATCTAAACAAGTAAAAATGGGGAAACTTACTAAAACTGTGCACACATATATAGCATCAAGAAATAAACTAGCAGTAAAATCCAAGGTCATATTCAGTGTGATAGGCACTGCAGATCTTTTCTATTAATAAAAAGCAACAGAGGCTTTTTCTACCCATGAAATGTTTTTTTAAAAGAGCTTTCTTATTATTTTAGTGAAATGAAGTTTTTCCTTCTTAATAAAAATTTTCAAATTTCTACCAAAAAAAATCCTTAAGTAACTCAAGTTTTGCAGTTTATGCTTATTTAAATATTTGATAGGTATTTTCTGCCACTTGAGAGTTGCTATTAAATTTTATATAATAAACTTCACTTGCAAACTGACTTCCTTCTCAGACAAATCAAATGACAGCAAACAAAAATAATGCCTATTAACTATTTTAAGTACATTACTGTACCCTGTGGGGAAAATCAGGAAACAAAAACTGTAGTTTCAGAATTTCAGATGGATTAGTTATTCAGAAATTGTCTTGAGGACATGCCCTAACCTTTTGATATCACTCATCAAAGGAAAATGTGACTCACAAAGACTTTAATCCCCTTTCCTCCCAACGGGAGATACAGTCTGTATAGAGAGCTGTTTGCATTTATAACTCACTTAAATCATGTCTTCCAGATACTTCAGGTTTAACTCACAGTGCTACACTCAAACTAACCAATTTAATAAAAGGATTATAAAATATTTGAAGCAAACTTATGCATATTTTATTCAATGGTTTATCTCCAAACAGTAGATATCTACTGATGAACTATTTGAACATTAGATGCATCAAATTCATATTCATTGTAGCTCATATTTTTCCTTATCATTCCTAAATTCATATATACTGAGTCTAACAAAGTACATTGCTTCTAGTTATAATCAAATATATTTATAAGTCTATTCTTCACCATGTTGTTTCAGGAATTTATTATGGATTCAAGAGAATTCAGTAAAAGACAACTGGTTAAGCCACAGTTAATAAAGGTAGAAACAATGCAAACAAGAACTCATTCATGGAGTAGATTTAATAGAGCAAGTAACACAGGATATTCATAATCAAATGATATTAGCTTTTACAGTAAAAATGTATTTGAGAGAATTAAAAGTCAGTGATAATAAGGAATGAGAATAACTCCTTCCCATCATCCTCAGTCATGTGAACTATGCTCAAAGGCTTCAGATGGTCAATAAATTAATACATGAATCTTTAAAATATAAATTAAATATTTTTATTTAGTTGCTATAGTAAATAGAAAGATTTAATTTATAGTTTAAAGATTGTATACTTTTATGTTTAGTATAGCAACTTTAGGATTCTTTGGTTTTCAGTAATAATCTATGCATTTGGGTAACCAAACTTAGTCAGCTTGGTCAGGACTTTTTTGTTTATTTATTTTATTTTATTTTATTTTATTTTATTTATTTTTTTTAAGACGGTCTCACTCTGTCTCCCAGGCTGGAGTGCAGTGGTGCGATCTCGGCTCACTGCAACTTCTGTCTCCCGGGTTCAAGCGATTCTCCTGCCTCAGCCTTCCCAGTACCTGGCACTACAGGTGGCTAATTTTTGTATTTTTAGTAGAGATGGGGTTTTGCCGTGTTGGCCAGGCCCAAACTCCTGATATCAAGTGATCCACCCGCCTTGGCATCCCAAAGTGCTGGGATTACAGGTGTGAGCCACTGTGCCCAGCAGGACATTATTTTATATTCAGTCAAATAATAGTTTAAAAATCATAGCTAAAAGTGGATAAGCATAACTTGTTAATTATGATTCAAAGCAGTTGATGCACATCTGGTTGAAGATTAGCAGATTCTCACTGCAGTTTAGTTATAACTGATTAACATTTCAAGGGACATAGGATTTCAGATTCTACAGTCAGGAAACCATACACCAAACAAGTTAAATAATCAAGTAAGGTAGATAATTCATATTTGGAGGAGTTTATTTTGTTTCTTCAGGAGATGATAAGTTATCAAAGATTCTCATTCAATAGAAATTGCTATTAACTATTAGAAACCTACCAAGAACAATAAAAGCAGGGACCTGTTTTTTTTTCATTTTTTGTTTAAAAATTCAATGCTGAATCACTATCATCTAGGTCAGTGTGGAACACAAAGTGTGGGTTCAGTCAATATTTATAGAATAAGTGAATAAATACTAAACTGTTAACAAATAGTCAAAGCTTATGTGAATAACTCTGTTGGATAAAAAAGAGAAAAGGGTAAGAAGTGAAGAAGAGATAAAAAAGGAAGAAATAAAAAAGAGGTGAGTGAGAGGAAAGTGAAAAGTTCTTTCCTAGTGAAAGAGGTCTTTCCTATGGCAGCAGAAGAGTAGATTTACAGCAACCTAAAAGAAAACAGATGGCTGAATCCTTTCACTCCCCTTACGTACATGTGGTCCAACATTGTCTCAACAAGACTGTAGCCCTACAACCAACAATCGAAAGAGTGACATCAACACATAAAAGGAAGGAAGTGCACATTCAGTGGAAACCCCAATGAGAAATACGCTTCTGCCAAGACTATCAGGTTGGTATAGTACTTGCGATGTCTTGGCAAGAAATCATGAAATACTTGAAGAAATTAAATAATTATTAGGGGGATGCTTACTTCACTTTACTAGGGGAGGTCCTTGAGTACCTCTTCTAACATCTAAAGTCTTCTCCTCTCCAGAGGAATTGTGCTCCGTTCCCTGGTTACTTCTCCTTTACTTAGGGATTTCAGAATTGTGAATAAGGAAAGAATGACCTGGTAAGTGCCAGCCCTGGACACATTTGCCCACAGATGCTGTCCTCCCCCTTTCTTTAGTTGCTCTTTTTCTCAGGGGGCTGGACTCTATTAGGCCATATTTCCCAGATTTGTCTGTCAGTTGCCTTAGGGTTGGTCTCAGCCAATAGGAGGGAGATATCACCAGGAGACAGAGGGGAGAATCTAGGCCATTTCTCCCCACCCTTTTCTCTAGAAGCAGCTGTATCTTACCTGTGTTAGTGACTCTAGCTCCCATTGGACAGGCCATTACTACCTGGGCTCCAGTAAATCGCCCCCTAGCTCTCAGGTTGGTAGTGGCTTCCCATTTTTGCTTATCTCTGTGTTGGTCCAAGAGTGTCTGCTTTTGACTTCTGCATTGCAATATGAGAACATCCTTATCTCTGACACCTTTAAATACCCCTTAGGGTCTCATCTACTTAGATCTCTGATCTTAGACCACATGTCTCTCCTGACTACCCAGCTGGTCTTGACTGCTTGGCCTACATATCTGCATCAGCTGTCTCTCTGGAATGCCCAGATCAAGCTCTGGAACCTGTTCTACTTTGACCACAGGCTTCTGATTCCCTTCTCTCTTTCTTCTGATCCCATCTAGCTCTATTCCATTCACTTCATCATGGTTGCTGGTCCTATAGCTGCTCAAAGTTGAAAAGTTGCTACTCTGAATGCTGATGTTTGCTGAACTGCAGGACAAAACCACTCTATAATTATCTCTAAGTTCCCACTTCAGATTTACCTTGAATAGATTTTAGGCATAATAGGCATACACAATATCAAAGTTTACATATTTGTGTCACAAGAAGATTAAAAATAAAGTATATTTCCCACATGATTGGTCATCCCTTCCATGCATCCTCTTTGGTAATATCCAGTAAGATATAATGGCAGACAAGAAGATGGATAAAATAATGTCAGATAGTAACTCTGCTCACAGGGCATGGAATCTATGATGGCCTTGTAATAAAATAGCTTAATATAGCCAGGTTAACTTGTTTCTATAAATTCTTTCACCGTAGGCAAAAATAACATAATCCCTAAAGTAGTGAACTAGTAAATAATAATAATTAAGCATTTAAGACCCTCTTAATCACTTTACATTATAAACAAACAGTAAATGTGTAATAGTGTTGACTATTCTGGGCTCATGTTTCTTAAGTGTTTATTTTAATTGAACTTCAGCACTAATACATGTAACTGTTACTCTGTTTCCCAGGTTATACTCTCCCTGGGAATCTGAAGATCATGTTGTTTAATTCAGGATCTGTATCGGTAGATTAAATTCCCACCCAACCCTGTCCCAATTCCCAAATTAATCTTGAGTTAGGTGAAAAAATAACAAGCAAGCTCAGCACTGGCCCTGTTTACCAAATCACCTTCCAGCCAAATTGGTTGAATTAGTTACACCTTTTCTCTTAGTCTAGTGGAGGATGTCGTGTGTCCTTAGATTCCCAAACAAAACATGCCCGCTCTCTCTCTGTGGTCTACATTATAGCTGGAGTACAATTTCCAGGCCTCATTTCCAGCATTCTCTTCTGGAACTTTCATTTGGCTGCCACACAGAAGGCCCTATGTTTCCTGCCAGCTGTCCTCTGGGTTCTCAAGTACCCCAGGTTCACCTACTAGAGAAAAGAATTCCAAAATGCCAGCTGCCCAAGCAGCTCTACCTGCCTCTCTGCCCTGATTCCCAGAGTAAGGTTTCAGCCATTAAGAACTGTCTCTGGGCATCTCTGAAACACAGCCTTCAACACAATGGTCTATCTGGTTGATCACCACTGGCCATGAAGCTTGGCCTCAACGCCTGTCCCATCTTAGGGGATGGTTCTAATCTCAGGTCTAGCTCCTTCCTTTTAGTCAAGAATTGAGGAATCATGAAGTGTTCTCTGACTCCATATGTTTGTACTAGGCTTCTTCATGATGATTTATTTGAGTTTTGATGTACTTGGTTTTGGCTGAACTCACATCTCCCTCTCCTGCTCCCTCTCCCTATGCCCTTGCAAGGAACAAGAACTACAAAATGGAGCCTTTTGTAAGGCCGTTGCACTCAGGAGCTTTCTTGAAGTGCTCTGAAATTTCTGGCAGAAATAAAGCTATTTAAAAAAAATAGTTACAGCTTATGTTCCTCTTCTTCTGTGCCCTGAGAAATAGTTAATCAACTCTTCCTTAGCTTGGAGTTCACCCAGATGCTCCTTAAGGCTTATCTGTAGCTCCACTCTCAGTGGTAAAGCCACCACTGGATCCTAGCAGGGTGCCTAAACTCAGTAATGTGGTAAGAGATAAGGCAACAAAGCTTCATGAACATTGTATTTTCTTCCAACAGGGCACAAGGAAGATATTAAACTGAGTTCCCCCCAAAATCCCAAAAATCTCCTACTGATAATCAAGATTTGTGGAATCTATAATGTGTCTTTATTTTGGTTTAAACTAATGACACTAGATTTTCTTCTACCTGGCAAAGAAGAGGTAGGTATACATTAAACAAAAGAAAATGAAAAAAATGGACCTAAAATCATGTGGGAAATAGATCATTGTCATCATTGTTCAAAAAAGAAATGTTGTGGAATATTTCTGCAATTTCCTGGCCAGCTAGTCTTTTTCACCAGACGCATATATCTTTTTCAAATATCAAAAGATAGTAAAGCTATGCATGTAAAAGTCATAATAGTAATAGTAATTATAAGTATTATAAGGGTAAGAATAATTTACATGATTCTTACTGACTCCCAAGCATTTGCTAAGCACTTTAACTTTTCAAAATCTCAGAATGCTATGCTGTACATATGATAAGAAAGGAGAACTTTCTTAGTTTAGAAAACTGAGTTGCAGAAAGGTTAAGCAACTTGATCAAAGCAAATTAGTAATGGGAAGAGCAGAAATTTAAACCTAACTCATCTTTCATACCTATGAAGATGCAAATAAGTCAACCAATTACATTTGTGTGTAATATATTTGCCCTCTTGATGAATACTGAACCAGAGTTAGAGCATCTTCTATTTGTTTCATGAAAAAGCATTGACATTATACACGATTTGTGTGTTCTACTTTGAAATCACACTTTGTTACTCTAAACATTATTTGAATAAGAAGTTGCTAATAATTTGAGCAGTTATTTCAAAATATTTATGTACTATTACTACACAGATGGATTACTCTTGAGCTTGGCATCCAATTTTTAAAATTTTCTAACTCATGTGTACATGACTAATTTTCCCTCTCAGAATTATGACAACATTCATTCATATGCTCTTCTCTCTTGATTTTTGTACTTTGGTAGTTTGGGAAACATGATAAGATAGCTCGTAGTATAACTAATAGCTTAGCACACATAGCATATCTATACTCTTTTGACTTTTCCTCTAAATATCACCTTATCATAGTTTGTTCTTTATCCCCTATCCACTTGCCATTATTTCCATCCAATGAAACTTATTTTTCTTCTCTCTCATCTTTGAATTTCCTTCCCTCCCTAACAGCATGTGAGTTACTTGAAAGCTCTTTGATCAGAATAAAAATCCCAATTATTTGATACTTCCATTTATTTGGATTATAAAGACATACGGGGGTATATTTTGCAAAACAGTCTTGTCAGCCCCGGCAGAAGATATATCACTATATTATAGCTTTGCCATGTGTCCATAGAGAAAGGTTATCTTATGTTAAACACATGTTCATATGCAATAACAGAGACATGAATTCTAAGGATATTGCAGAAAGCATAGCTGACTACTGATTCTAGCACCTTCAGGATCTTTCTCTTCTTAGTTGTGACCACTGTAATGCACTTCATAGAGTAATAAATTGTTCTTGCCCTGGGATCATGATTCCCATCTCTTCACTACAACATGTCTAGATGTAAGACATGTTTACCCTTGTATAATCAATGATCTGAGTCTAGATGTCAAGTACTTGCTTGTTCTGTGCATTAACTGTCTTCTTTTTCTGGAACTGCAGGCTCTATCAGATCCTTCCCCTAAAATTCATACATCCTGCCTTGTTACTATCCGTGCCCCAGCATGACCAATATCAAAGTGGTTAAGAAAAAGGCTCCAGCTATTTTAGTATCCTAAATTTTATCTTTTCATTCTACAAAGAAGTTTTTCATAAAAAGTTAAAATAAATTTAAAAACTCATTGATACTATTCAGTAAGATGTTATAGATTCCAAGCAACTATCTCTTTTATAGGCAACATAATTAAAAGTGAATTACAAATGCAGACTTTATGACTCTAATTAAACTCTAGGCCACAATGCATTAAAAACAGATTATACATATTAAGTTAGATATAAGAAAAAATAAATATGCCACATAGTGAGGCATAAGTTAATATGCCTCAAAATAAATGAGGAGAAACAATTTCAGATAATACATATTTATATAAAATGTTTATCAACATAACCTAAAATATTTTCTTGAATTTCATCAGAGATAAAATTTTTATACTTAATTTTTGTAAACATATACATCATACTTTCTCTCACTTACTTCACTACTTCATTCCATCCCAAGAACATCTGTGCAAGTATTTCCCAAGTGTGGGAGACTGGAAGAGGTTCTATATTTTGGTTGTAAGAATATATATTAATTTTTAGAACATTATAATTAAACTCAGAAATATTTAATTGTAGGGATATTATTTGGTAAGAATCAAATAAAATGACTAAAAATTAACTTGAGGCAACATGAAATCTCAACATCATTGTAAAACTAAGAGAGCAGATCTTAAACAAAATGTAGTGCAGTCTTCACACTTGGGAGATTCATTAATCACTTAAGTGTTTTCTCTGAAGTTTTTAAATGCTTAAAGATTGGGTTACATTATGAAAAGGACCTGTTTAATATTGTGTCTGTAAAGTTCAATTCTACCTAGTTCTCACTTTCTTTCGTATCTTCTCTAGTGAAGAATGAAGAAATGAGAATTATGTGTTTGAATCTAGCACCTCTGACATGGAAAAACACATGGTGAAGCAGAGGAAAGAAAACTGAAAGAAAGTGAAAATATCTTTAAGAATACTTTGGGGAAACAAACAGTATTTCAAATGAAAGATTAAGAACAAATCCAAACAAATGGATTGGAAGGTATTATGTAAAAAAATATGAGATGCTTTAGCACAGGTACTCTAAGAATTTGAGAAGCTTCTCATGTTTAAGGGAGAAGGTAACATTCCTGATAGAAACATTTAAAGGCAGTGCAGAAAGGAAATTCTCATCAGGAGGCCTATAGAACACACATGGGCAACAGCAAGCCCCCCTTGCCCTGCTCAGCCCTGGATCCATACAGAGGAAAGGAGAGAGGTAAAGATGAAAGAAAGAGGTTGAACAGAAGATAGTAAATGGTTGAAAAATATTTTTAAAATAGAAAGAGTTATGCTTCTGAGAAGATTCTCCATGTCTGGGTATCAGACATGGAGATACATCATACTGATCAACCTGAAGTAATGTACTTACTGAAATACCCACTTCTAGTTCATCTAGTTCATGCAAGGTTTCACAAAGCCACCAATCGTTTTAATCATCTTATAAAAGCTTTCTAATTGAAATATTCTTAAGTATCACATTTTACT
Organism: Homo sapiens; assembly: GCF_000001405.40. Classification (NCBI taxonomy): domain Eukaryota; kingdom Metazoa; phylum Chordata; class Mammalia; order Primates; family Hominidae; genus Homo; species Homo sapiens. The sequence continues at coordinate 86,063,876 of NC_000004.12, forward strand.
AGTGGCAGGTATCTTTTCAAAAAAAAAATACAAGCTAAGCAACTTGTCCTCTGTTGTTTCCTACCACTAAGTTTGCATTAGAAGAGACTGGCAGTCAAACACACAAGAAGAAACACAAGTATTGGCAATTTAACAGAAACAAATGGTAGTGTATCATGGACATCTAAGGTTTGTAGGACTAAATCATACCCTCTTCTAGTAAGTCCTGAAAAAAATGTATTTAAAACATATGTTGAAGAAAATAGCTTTTAGAGGGGCAGATAATAGGCTTTGGACTTAGAAATTTTATAAAAATCCATTGTGCATTCTTTAGGCTTCTAGTCCTATTCAGTTTTTGCTATGAGCTATGATTTGTTTGTGGAAGCAAAGTAAAGGCAGCCTATTTCTTACCGCCTCCACTTCGGCTGGGTCATACCAGACGTTGATGTAGGGATGCTGTAAGGCGTCGTCCACTGATATTCTTTTTGCTGGGTCAATCACTAGCATCTTTGACAACAAGTCCCTGGCTTGGCTGGCTGAAACAATAAATGAGAAAAACAATTAGTAAGATTTTGATTTCAGTAAGGAAATTTGTCAGAGAGGAAATTTAAGAAAACAAAGTATGGAATAGTATCTTCCTTCCAAACATCAGGTAAATCCCTTGATGTGATGGAAAAGAAAATGCATTTTACACCTGTTTCTTTGTGTCTCTAAGCCTAAGGCTTCATTCTGAGGCTCTCCAAGGGTTGTAACACTTTGGGTATATAATTATTCACGCAAACTTCTTAGTAAAATGTATCAACCTGGAGAGTTTATGTAAGCAAAGTCATCTTCTTTGGTAACCTGCATGAATATAGGATAAACAGAATAAAGAGCACAGAGTGCAAATGCATGATGTTCAACAAATGTGTGGACGGCTGTTTGAAGTTAATCAACACGTGTGTCTCTATATTCTTATTTATACAACGGAATTATCAGAATTTTAGTATATAAATTGACTTAAGAGTTTGTATCATACAAATTTTTCTTTTCTTTTTGTTTTTGTTTATTTATTTATTTATTTATTTTTGAGACAGGGTATCCCTCTGTTGCCAGGCTGGAGTGTAGTGGAATGATCACAGCTCACTGCAGCCTGGAACTCCTGCGCTCAAAGGATCCTCCCATCCCAGCTTCCCGAGTAACTGGAACTACAGGCATGCACCACCATGCCTGGCTATTTTTTCTTTCTTTCTTTTTTTTTGTAAAGATAAGATCTCCCTACATTGCCCAAGCTGGTCTCGAACTCTGGGCTCAAAGATCCTCCCACCTCAGCCTCCCAAAATGCTGGGATTAAAGGAGTGAGCCACTGCTCCCAGCCACAAATTTCTTATATACATAAAAACAATCAAAGAATTGAAGTGATAGAAATAATATCATTCAACTACTGAATTTTATTTTAACATTCTGTAATCATCAGGTATTTTTAATCAATGGAATCATGACTTGATGAAATCCAGTAGTTAAAGACTGAAGCCAGTCTAATGCTACACCAGACACTAATGAGAAACTCTATATTATGTAAAGGTTATCATAATTAATTTTATGGTTGTGGGCAGTAACAGTTATAAAATTATATGGTGATAGCTATTTATTTAGTAAGATTGTTAAAAGACACATTAATTTTAACCTCTAAAAATATGTAAATTTTTTAAATTATTATACTTTAAGTTCTGGGATACATGTGCACAACATGCAGGTTTGTTACATAGGTATACACATGCCATAGTGGTTTGCTGCACCCACCAACCTGTCATCTACATTAGGTATTTCTCCTAAAGCTATCCCTCCCCTAGTCTTTTACATAAAGTTTTAACAGAAATGAATATCTCAAATCAATATTGTTACTCAACTGATCTGAAAGTTGAACCGTGAAAATATTCAGTTTATTCTAACTATATGGTAAAACATCAAATTAAAGATAACAAAATTTAAATGGATTTTTCAAAAAATCAACATAGATGACTCTGGATACATATCAATTTTTATTTAATCAATTTTTCAGATTAAAACAACTTGGCTAATTCTACAAATTTGAAAATTATATAAAATACAAAAATCAGGAAATAATATCTAACCCCACTAGCTAGAGGCAATGACTGTGATTATTGGCATATTTTTTCTAGTGCCGTTCATGTATTTTTCACGTAATATTAACCATACTATAGTTAAAATGTAGCAATTAATTTTTTACCTGTAAGTATTTTCTTGGTAATTACATCAATAAATATATCTTTTAATTTTCTGAACAAATATGAAAAATCACTAGTTAAACTTGAGAATTTTTTATTTCTATTAATCATTTTTCTGGGAAACTCAATCCTAGAAACTGATTATCATTACTTTCAAATTAAAACTCTGTACCGCACAGGAATAACAAAAATACAGAAATACTTATACATTAATTCAATATTTAATTTTTCTCATTGCCAATGGCCTCCTAATAGCCTAACAGGGCTGTGTTTATTTATTCATTGCTTTAAAGACCTCTTTAATTTGTAACTGATTTTACATCCAAATTCATGTACCATTCTCATAAGATTCTCTCATCAAATCTATCCATTTTTCTGCTCTTAGAAAGGGCTGGGGTTAGCCGGGCGTGGTCGTGGCTGACACCTGCAATCCCAGCACTTTGGAAGGCCGAGGCAGGCAGACCACGAAGTCAGGAGGTCGAGACGATCCTGGCTACCACGGTGAAACCCCATCTCTACTAAAAATACAAAAATTAGCTGGGCGTGGTGGCGGGCGCCTGTAGTCCCAGCTACTCGGGAGGTTGAGGCAGGAGAATGGAGTGAACCTGGGAGACGGAGCTTGCAGTGAGCCTAGATCGGTATCCCGGGCGACAGAGCGAGACTCTGTCTCAAAAAAAAAAAAAAAAAAAAAAAGAAAGGGCTGGGGTTACAATGGATTCTTCATGAATAGGGTCATGAACTACACCAATACAAAATCATCTTGCTAAGAAACAATACTATTTTTAGGAAACAATATGGGAAAATGTTTCAATGCTTTATCTTTCATTCTTTCATTTGAAAGCAAATGTGTTATGCTCTTTTCCAAACACAGTAGAATACATTCTTCTCTTTGGTTATTTGTATATTAAGATTATTTATAATTTGCCAATTTTATATTAAAAATTAAATTCAATAATCAAATATGCAAACTAGTTTATCATTTACAAACATAATTGCAGAGATTCAAATTGATTTAAAAAGTAAACTCAAGAAAATTGGAATTACATTATGAAGTATAATATATATCTATTTTTTGAGACGGAGTCTTGCTCACTCTATCTCTAGGCTGGAATGCAGTTGCCCGATCTCGGCTCACTGCAACCTCTTCCTCCTAGGTTCAAGCGACTCTCCTGCCTCAGCCTCCTGAGTAGCTGGGACTAGAGGTGTGTGCCACCATGCCCAGCTAATTTTTTTATATTTTTAGGAGAGACGCAGTTTCACCATGTTGGCCAGGATGGTCTGTCTCGATTTCCTGACCTCTTGATCCTCCCGCCTCCGCCTTCCAAAGTGCTGAGGTTACAGACTTGAGCCACCGCCCCCGGCCCTGAATATCCAGACAATTCTAAAATCCGTGGCTACTCCCCTTTGTAGGAACGATCTTTGAAGAAATATTTCTTTAACTTGAGGCTGTGCCAATTAAAGAATTGATCAATGTTTTAGGTGATGGGTTATGCTAATTGCTCTGATTTGACCATTATACCTCTATACATGTTTCAAAAATACCACCCTATATCCCACAAAAATGTACGATTATCATGTGTCAACTAAAAATAAAAGGGAACAAAGAGAAAGAGATAGAGGTCTCTATACTGTGTGCTTGTTTGGCCCGTCACCCTCATAGTTGTCCTCAAGTCATTCCTGAAGGGCATACCTTTGAGTTTATTGTGCTCGGAGTCCGCTGGGAAGAGGGAATCTGGGAAGAGTTTGGGGAAGGTGAGTCCCGCATACTTGGGCCGATTCTCCACATAGTTTCTTACTGTGGGTTGCAATTTCTTCATGAATTCTGGACATGGTGTTCCTAGTTGTTCAATTACCTTATTCCACTGGTCAATATCTGAGAATTGAACAGTTAAGGGAAAAAAGAAGAGCAGACCACTAGCCTTTCAACAATTGGGAGACTAACTCTTCTCAAAGTCCTCAACAGTCATTAATGCAACTGTAGTTTTAATAAGCAACAAAGAATGAAAATATAAAATCAGACTTGCAGGCTATGAGTCTTCTTGAAATTTTAAATTCACTTTTGAAACTTATATACTTTTGGAAAACTAGCAATTATTTAACAAAATAAGATATCATGAAATAGTCTTTGGGGTGTACAGATAAAAAGTCATTCAGATAACACAAGATGAATCTCATATTCTGCAGATAAACTTCTATATAAATCATGTGATTCAGAAGAAAAATATATAATGACACATCATAGTGACATTTTTATCCTGAAGTTACCTCAATTATTTATATTTTTAAAATGACAAATACACAAATATTTTAGATTATATTCATTTACATTTTCCTAAACTATCTTTAAGATATTTTTTCTTCTCTAAAAATCTGGAATTTTTTTCTATTTTTATGCATATCAACATAACTTTTATAGTAAAACAACTCATTAGTTCTTTGTCAGATTCCTAAAAATCATATTTATTAAACAAAGAAGCCACCTATTTCATACCTATTGTTTTACTGATGATATCACTGAATATTGTTTTCAATGAAATATAAGGGTGAACAGAGGAATATTCAATTTAAAACAACAGATTTCTATCCAAGTACATCCAAGTTTAGAAAGTACATTAAGCATGGGGAATACCACAGAAAAAATATTACCTCTCTATGAAAATTAATACCCTTTTAAATTGGAGCTAGCTCTTTTTGCAGACATACTCAATGATTGAGATTCTCTTTTTTATCTGTCATTAATATTCGATATATCAGAGCCTTGATAATGATAAACACCATCTACTCTGAAGAACCAACTGGAAACAACTGATTTAAACAGATTTCCTCGCCATGTGCCAGTGAATAATAGAGATCTTGGAAATTCCCTTAAATCCAATACTGCAAGCAGTATTCTCTCCTACATTGCTTATTCTTCTACAACTGTTCTTTGGTGTTAAGTTAGTTAACTCATTTCCACTAAGGTAAGGTGTGACAGTTAAGGGACTCTTACCATAATATTACTTAGTTGAAGTTTGTCAAGTCTTTACTCCTAGCTATTCAAGAGGTTTGGACTGAAAAAGATTGTCAGTCCTGATTAAAGATAAACTTAACTGTATTCAACAAAAAGAAATATATAATACAAACAGTAGATAGGAGATTGAACAAAGATAAAATCAAACTAATTTGCAAATCCTTTTCTTCATCTCTATAATCTGGCTGAATAAAACTTAAATTATTACATATTCTGTCAGTTATTGGAATAAAAAATATATAACCATGGACTATGAAGATATGAAATGAAGGTGGGAAAAACAATAATATTCCTTAATAAAGCAGTAGTAATAATTAAACAAGAACATGCTTTGATAGAAGCTCATCTAATTATCATGTGCATGAGAAAATACAGCAGTAATTCAGAATCACTAGAAATAATGAAACTAAAACATTATATAAGGTTAGAGTTACAAATTACTCTTAGACATGAGCCTGTATTAATACTATGGATATAGGTAAGCTATAAGTACTTAGACATACTTAAATAGAATACATTAGTGTAGTTAAATAAAACCTAAGTGCTTGTCATTATAAATTATGAAGAGACATTTTTTAAACAGTTAGGTTAGCATGCCCTACCAAGCTATCATTTCATCATTGATCAAACTTCCTCAAAATTCTAACCACTCGATGTCAAACTTAAAATAGAGGCAAAGAAGATGTCAGATTTTCTGTAAATAAGTCATTTAACAAAGTTGGCAAAATAATCCCAACACAGTATTATATCCTAATTACATTTGCTATAATTATAAAGATATACAGTAAATAATTGATTTTAAAGAAGTACTCCCAAAACAAAAAAAACTGATACTTTTATATTAAAGTTTAAGGAGAGTCAGATATTCTGGAATTTGTTAAATAAGAATTGTTAAAATGTTTCTTGTAATAAATCATAATTAGAATCTAGAGACACACTCAGCGCTCTTTCCTACCTTAGGTTGCTTTTAAATGAAACACTGTTGTGATTCTTGATGCAATGGTTTACAAAAAGAAGGGTGGCAAAAATCTTTATCATTGTCAATGAAATAGTTAAATGTTCATACTGCAAATCTGAGTTACAGTGATCTTTAAAAGTCTGTGTCTTTATTTTAACCAATCCATTTCAAGATTTTTCTTCCCAAAAACATATGTGTGTGTATATCTACATATGGTAAGTACTTGTTTTCTAGATGTTCATAGAATACAAACATGAACAACTATGTCCAATTTAGTTGAGCACATGATTTTTCTTTCTTTTTTTTTTTGTAGCACTTGAAGGGCTTTATTTTTTTTTCTTTTTCTTTTTTTTATTATACTTTAAGTTTTAGGGTACATGTGCACATTGTGCAGGTTAGTTACATATGTATACATGTGCCATGCTGGTGCGCTGCACCCACTAACTCGTCATCTAGCATTAGGTATATCTCCCAATGCTATCCTTCCCCCCTCCCCCCACCCCACCACAGTCCCCAGAGTGTCATATTCCCCTTCCTGTGTCCATGTGATCTCATTGTTCAATTCCCACCTATGAGTGAGAATATGCGGTGTTTGGTTTTTTGTTCTTGCAATAGTTTACTGAGAATGATGATTTCCAGTTTCATCCATGTCCCTACAAAGGACATGAACTCATCATTTTTTATGGCTGCATAGTATTCCATGGTGTATATGTGCCACATTTTCTTAATCCAGTCTATCATTGTTGGACATTTGGGTTGGTTCCAAGTCTTTGCTATTGTGAATAATGCCATAATAAAAATACGTGTGCATGTGTCTTTATAGCAGCATGATTTATAGTCATTTGGGTATATACCCAGTAATGGGATGGCTGGGTCAAATGGTATTTCTAGTTCTAGATCCCTGAGGAATCGCCACACTGACTTCCACAATGGTTGAACCAGTTTACAGTCCCACCAACAGTGTAAAAGTGTTGCTATTTCTCCACATCCTCTCCAGCACCTGTTGTTTCCTGACTTTTTAATGATTGCCATTCTAACTGGTGTGAGATGGTATCTCATAGTGGTTTTGATTTGCATTTCTCTGATGGCCAGTGATGATGAGCATTTTTTCATGTGTTTTTTGGCTGCATAAATGTCTTCTTTTGAGAAGTCTCTGTTGATGACCTTCGCCCACTTTTTAATGGGGTTGTTTGTTTTTTTCTTGTAAATTTGTTTGAGTTCATTGTAGATTCTGGATATTAGCCCTTTGTCAGATGAGTAGGTTGCGAACATTTTCTCCCATTTTGTAGGTTGCCTGTTCACTCTGATGGTAGTTTCTTTTGCTGTGCAGAAGCTCTTTAGTTTAATTAGATCCCATTTGTCAATTTTGTCTTTTGTTGCCGTTGCTTTTGGTGTTTTGGACATGAAGTCCTTGCCCATGCCTATGTCCTGAATGGTAATGCCTAGGTTTTCTTCTAGGGTTTTTATGGTTTTAGGTCTAACGTTTAAGTCTTTAATCCATCTTGAATTGATTTTTGTATAAGGTGTAAGGAAGGGATCCAGTTTCAGCTTCCTACATATGGCTAGCCAGTTTTCCCAGCACCATTTATTAAATAGGGAATCCTTTCCCCATTGTTGTTTTTCTCAGGTTTGTCAAAGATCAGATAGTTGTAGGTATGCGGCGTTATTTCTGAGGGCTCTGTTCTGTTCCATTGATCTATATCTCTGTTTAGGTACCAGTACCATGCTGTTTTGGTTACTGTAGCCTTGTAGTATAGTTTGAAGTCAGGTAGTGTGATTCCTCCAGCTTTGTTCTTTTGGCTTAGGATTGACTTGGCAATGCGGGCTCTTTTTTGGTTCCATATGAACTTTAAAGTAGTTTTTTCCAATTCTGTGAAGAAAGGCATTGGTAGCTTGATGGGGATGGCATTGAATCTGTAAATTACCTTGGGCAGTATGGCCATTTTCACGATATTGATTCTTCCTACCCATGAGCATGGAATGTTCTTCCATTTGTTTGTATCCTCTTTTATTTCCTTGAGCAGTGGTTTGTAGTTCTCCTTGAAGAGGTCCTTCACATCCCTTGTAAGTTGGATTCCTAGGTCTTTTATTCTCTTTGAAGCAATTGTGAATGGGAGTTCACTCTTGATTTGGCTCTCTGTTTGTCTGTTGTTGGTGTATAAGAATGCTTGTGATTTTTGTACATTGATTTTGTATCCTGAGACTTTGCTGAAGTTGCTTATCAGCTTAAGGATATTTTGGGCTGAGACGATGGGGTTTTCTAGATATACAATCATGTCGTCTCCAAACAGGGACAATTTGACTTCCTCTGTTCCTAATTGAATACCGTTTATTTCCTTCTCCTGTCTAATTGCCCTGGCCAGAACTTCCAACACTATGTTGAATAGGAGTGGTGAGAGAGGGCATCCCTGTCTTGTGCCAGTTTTCAAAGGGAATGCTTCCAGTTTTTGCCCATTCAGTATGATATTGGCTGTGGGTTTGTCATAGATAGCTCTTATTATTTTGAAATACGTCCCATCAATACCTAATTTATTGAGAGTTTTTAGCATGAAGGGTTGTTGAATTTTGTCAAAGGCTTTTCCTGCATCTATTGGGATAATCATGTGGTTTTTGTCTTTGGCTCTGTTTATATGCTGGATTACATTTATTGATTTGCGTATATTGAACCAGCCTTGCATCCCAGGGATGAAGCCCACTTGATCATGGTGGATAAGCTTTTTGATGTGCTGCTGGATTCGGTTTGCCAGTATTTTATTGAGGATTTTTGCATCGATGTTCATCGAGGATATTGGTCTAAAATTCTCTTTTTTGGTTGTGTCTCTGCCCGGCTTTGGTATCAGAATGATGCTGGCCTCATAAAATGAGTTAGGGAGGATTCCCTCTTTTTCTATTGATTGGAATAGTTTCAGAAGGAATGGTACCAGTTCCTCCTTGTACCTCTGGTAGAATTCGGCTGTGAATCCATCTGGTCCTTGACTCTTTTTGGTTGGTAAACTATTGATTATTGCCACAATTTCAGCTCCTGTTATTGGTCTATTCAGAGATTCAACTTCTTCCTGGTTTAGTCTTGGGAGAGTGTATGTGTCGAGGAATTTATCCATTTCTTCTAGATTTTCTAGTTTATTTGCGTAGAGGTGTTTGTAGTATTCTCTGATGGTAGTTTGTATTTCTGTGGGATCGGTGGTGATATCCCCTTTATCATTTTTTATTGTGTCTATTTGGTTCTTCTCTCTTTTTTTCTTTATTAGTCTTGCTAGCGGTCTATCAATTTTGTTGATCCTTTCAAAAAACCAGCTCCTGGATTCACTGATCTTTTGAAGGGTTTTTTGTGTCTCTATTTCCTTCAGTTCTGCTCTGATTTTTGTTATTTCTTGCCTTCTGCTAGCTTTTGAATGTGTTTGCTCTTGCTTTTCTAGTTCTTTTAATTGTGATGTTAGGGTGTCAATTTTGGATCTTTCCTGCTTTCTCTTGTGGGCATTTAGTGCTATAAATTTCCCTCTACACACTGCTTTGAATGCATCCCAGAGATTCTGGTATGTTGTGTCTTTGTTCTCGTTGGTTTCAAAGAACATCTTTATTTCTGCCTTCATTTCGTTATGTACCCAGTAGTCATTCAGGAGCAGGTTGTTCAGTTTCCATGTAGTTGAGTGGTTTTGAGTGGGATTCTTAATCCTGAGTTCTAGTTTGATTGCACTGTGGTCTGAGAGATAGTTTGTTATAATTTCTGTTCTTTTACATTTGCTGAGGAGAGCTTTACTTCCAACTATGTGGTCAATTTTGGAATAGGTGTGGTGTGGTGCTGAAAAAAATGTATATTCTGTTGATTTGGGGTGGTGAGTTCTGTAGATGTCTATTAGGTCCGCTTGGTGCAGAGCTGAGTTCAATTCCTGGGTATCCTTGTTGACTTTCTGTCTCGTTGATCTGTCTAATGTTGACAGTGGGGTGTTAAAGTCTCCCATTATTAATGTGTGGGAGTCTAAGTCTCTTTGTAGGTCACTCAGGACTTGCTTTATGAATCTGGGTGCTCCTGTATTGGGTGCATATATATTTAGGATAGTTAGCTCTTCTTGTTGAATTGATCCCTTTACCATTATGTAATGACCTTCTTTGTCTCTTTTGATCTTTGTTGGCTTAAAGTCTGTTTTATCAGAGACTAGGATTGCAACCCCTGCCTTTTTTGTTTTCCATTGGCTTGGTAGATCTTCCTCCATCCTTTTATTTTGAGCCTATGTGTGTCTCTGCACGTGAGATGGGTTTCCTGAATACAGCACACTGATGGATCTTGACTCTTTATCCAATTTGCCAGTCTGTGTCTTTTAATTGGAGCATTTAGTCCATTTACATTTAAAGTTAATATTGTTATGTGTGAATTTGATTCTGTCATCATGATGTTAGCTGGTGATTTTGCTCGTTAGTTGATGCAGTTTCTTCCTAGTCTCGATGGTCTTTACATTTTGGCATGATTTTGCAGTGGCTGGTACTGGTTGTTCCTTTCCATGTTTAGCGCTTCCTTCAGGAGCTCTTTTAGGGCAGGCCTGGTGGTGACAAAATCTGTCAGCATTTGCTTGTCTGTAAAGTATTTTATTTCTCCTTCACTTATGAAGCTCAGTTTGGCCTGATATGAAATTCTGGGTTGAAAATTCTTTTCTTTAAGAATGTTGAATATTAGCCCCCACTCTCTTCTGGCTTGTAGGGTTTCTGCCGAGAGATCCGCTGTTAGTCTGATGGGCTTCCCTTTGAGGGTAACCCGACCTTTCTCTCTGGCTGCCCTTAACATTTTTTCCTTCATTTCAACTTTGGTGAATCTGACAATTATGTGTCTTGGAGTTGCTCTTCTCGAGGAGTATCTTTGTGGCGTTCTCTGTATTTCCTGAATCTGAACGTTGGCCTGCCTTGCTAGATTGGGGAAGTTCTCCTGGATAATATCCTGCAGAGTGTTTTCCAACTTGGTTCCATTCTCCTCATCACTTTCAGGTACACCAATCAGACCTAGATTTGGTCTTTTCATATAGTCCCATATTTCTTGGAGGCTTTGCTCATTTCTTTTTATTCTTTTTTCTCTAAACTTCCCTTCTCGCTTCATTTCATTCATTTCATCTTCCATCACTGATACCCTTTCTTCCAGTTGATCGCATCGGCTCCTGAGGCTTCTGCATTCCTCACATAGTTCTCGAGCCTTGGTTTTCAGCTCCATCAGCTCCTTTAAGCACTTCTCTGTATTGGTTATTCTAGTTATACATTCTTCTAAATTTTTTTCAAAGTTTTTAACTTCTTTGCCTTTGGTTTGAATGTCCTCCCGTAGCTCAGAGTAATTTGATCATCTGAAGCCTTCTTCTCTCAGCTCGTCAAAGTCATTCTCCATCCAGCTTTGTTCTGTTGCTGGTGAGGAACTGTGTTCCTTTGGAGGAGGAGAGATGCTCTGCGTTTTAGAGTTTCCAGTTTTTCTGTTCTGTTTTTTCCCCATCTTTGTGGTTTTATCTACTTTTGGTCTTTGATGATAGTGATGTACAGATGGGTTTTCAGTGTGGATGTCCTTTCTGTTTGTTAGTTTTCCTTCTAACAGACAGGACCCTCAGCTGCAGGTCTGTTGGAATACCCTGCTGTGTGAGGTGGCAGTGTGCCCCTGCTGGGGGATGCCTCCCAGTTAGACTTCTCGGGGGTCAGGGGTCAGGGACCCACTTGAGGAGGCAGTCTGCCCATTCTCAGATCTCCAGCTGCGTGCTGGGAGAACCACTGCTCTCTTCAAAGCTGTCAGACAGGGGCATTTAAGTCTGCAGAGGTTACTGCTGTCTTTTTGTTTGTCTGTGCCCTGCCCCCAGAGGTGGGGCCTACAGTGGCAGGCAGGCCTCCTTGAGCTGTGGTGGGCTCCACCCAGTTCGAGTTTCCAGGCTGCTTTGTTTACCTAAGCAAGCCTGGGCAATGGCGGGCGCCCCTCCCCCAGCCCTCCTGGGGCCTTGCAGTTTGATCTCAGACTGCTGTGCTAGCAATCAGCGAGATTCCGTGGGCGTAGGACCCTCCGAGCCAGGTGTGGGATATAGTCTCGTGGTGCGCTGCTTTTTAAGCCGGTCTGAAAAGTGCAATATTCGGGTGGGAGTGACCCGATTTTCCAGGTGCGTCTGTCACCCGTTTCTTTGACTCGGAAAGGGAACTCCCTGACCCCTTGTGCTTCCCAGGTGAGGCAATGCCTCGCCCTGCTTCGGCTCGCGCACGGTGCGCGCACCCACTGGCCTGCGCCCACTGTCTGGCACTCCCTAGTGAGATGCACCCGGTACCTCAGATGGAAATGCAGAAATCACCCATCTTCTGCGTCGCTCACGCTGGGAGCTGTAGACCGGAGCTGTTCCTATTCAGCCATCTTGGCTCCTCCCCATGATTTTTCTTTATAATAACAATTAACCTAACATAAACGAAGACTGGAACTCCTATCTCCTGTTTCCATGTTCAGTGCTTGTTTCAAGTATTCCAGTAAGAAAAAGTAAATTTGGAATTGATATGGTAAAAAATTGTTTTAATTTGGCCATAAAGTTAATGGTGTGTTTTGTCACAAGCAACTCCCTTAAAGAATGTTTCTGAAGCCCCTTCCTTAGTCTATCAGGCCAACATATTCCTGTAAAACAATTAATTTTATCAATATTTTATATAGAAAATAAGGTGATTTTTAAATGGGAAAACAGATTTCCACAAGGATTACATTTTTAAAGTACATAAAATATTAACTAGATTTTATGATTATGTATTAATTGTTAACATGGTAAATATGTTTTTAAAGAATGACCAAAACCATTTTTTGTAGAAGAATTTATTTGCTTTAGAATACCCATAAATTACCATTTTTATACCACATAGAGTAAGGATTTACAGATCTTAGCCCTGTGAGGTTATCAGAAAAGCAATAAGTATATTTTTTATATTTTTGATGTGCTGTTTCAGAAATTATCACCCTTAACATAAATTATGAAATGCATTGAATACAAATGGAAAAATGGCATTTAATAAGAATTATTTGACAGTAAATCACCTGATATAATTCTAAATTGACTACATAAAAGTAGAGTTATATTGTAAGAAGTTCAATTTTATAAGTAGGGCATGATGTCCAGATAATGTACAAATGTGATATTACTAAGGTATTCAATAAATAGTATTATAATAGAATAAAACAAAGTAAATATGAATAGTAAAAATGAGTATCTGAAATCCTAAGATTGAAAATTTTTCCAATTAATATTATCAATTAGCTAATAACTTATATTTCAAGCACTTCTCTTACTTTAGCTTCCTTTGTTAGGGAACTTTCTAAAACGATAATGCCTTGAACATAATATATGAAAAGGGCAATTTTTGGGCCTCTCATTTGCACAGGCCCCTTATAAGACTAATCCTTTTCTGCGTATTGTGGGTCAAAATTATGAACAGAATTTATGCCATCCATATTTAAGCCTTCAGAACTTACTAAGTGGAATCATAAGGAACTATTTAATGGCCTCATCCAATTGTTTCCTTTGAATGACTATATCTTCTGTTTATGTTTTCTTCTATCATTGATTGCTTTTTGTTACTATGAATGTGATTTCCAGAGCCAACACCTCATAGTTTCTGACTTGCTTTGTACTCTGCTCTAGGCCTTATATCCAATACTTTGTGCAAAAATTTTCTGACCTCTCTTTGCAATTTAAAGAACATCAGTGTTTATCTCTAAATTATTAGCTATGTTCTTAAAGACAATATTGCCTAATAGCAATGTCGTTATAGAATAGTTCCAGGAGAGGCTTTTATCATGCACGCCAAACAGCTGTTTAGGCACAATGTTGAGTAGGCTTGTGTGGCTTTATATTAGCTTCGTAGGAAAGAATTTTGTGATCAGTTAGTAATGTCTGCAACAGATGCACAATAAGGAAATTGAAGCACATATGCCATGTGTTAAGCATCATTATATTAAACTGTGGTTCCCAAACTTGAATATTCGTAACGCAGGGAACTTACAAAAATACATATCCCTCCTCCCTACTCATTGATCTACAAGATTCTGAGTCCACAGGTCTGGGCTGATATCATAAAAAACACCAGTGGTAATTGTAATCAAGGATGGGATTATATTTTGAGAAATACTAATGTAGAATATACTAAAAAGTCTCTTGTGAGTTACTAAGTCCAAATGTAAGAGTAAAATACTAACATGTTTCAGTTTTATGACACAAATTAGAATAGGATCAAATTCACCAAAAGATTATTCCACACCTGTTTGTTAACTTGGGGGTCATTCACCTGAGAATACTCAGAGAAAGAAAAGTGCTCATCTTTATTTCTTTGCCCCATGTAATTTTCCTGCAAAGGCCATGGGAAATTACAGTAAGTGGCACATGCAGTCTCCTAGTAGAGGGAGAAGAATTCTGCCCCTCATCATCTGTGGGAGAACTGAAATTGTATGCTGCTATTACCTGGGGAGTAGTACCCATGGAAAGTACTAATTATAGTTCTTTGTGATTAAATTTGTTGTTAAAAGAATTTTTTTCTAAAAACAAGTATAAGGAAATACATATGTATATATATATATACACACACACACACACACACACACAAACATATGATAGAGTTCTGAATCTAGATTTTCATGGTTATGTTTCTAATTGTTTTGTTTCTTTAAAAATGTTTTTAGGGGCCAGGGACAGAGGCTCATGCATGTAATCCTAGCACTTTGGGAGGCCAAGGCGGGAGGATCACCTGAGCCTGGGAGTTCAAGACCAGCCTGACCAACATAGAGAAACCCCGTCTCTACTAAAAATACAAAAGCAGCTGGGTGTGGTGGCACATGCCTGTAATCCCAGCTACTCAGGAGGCTGAGGCAAGAGAATCACCTGAACCCATGAGGCACAGGTTGCAGTAAGCAGAGGTAGCACCATTGCACTCCAGCCTGGGCAACGAGAGTGAAACTTTGTCCCCCACCCCCCCAAAAAAAGAAAAAGAAAAATGTTTTTAGGGTATTTTTTATTTGAAAATGTTCTTTTCCTCTCAAAAGTCCTTGTCAGATTCTGGTAACAGGAAATATGAATAAGTGACTTAATAAACAATTGTAACTAACATCTGTTTTAATTATAAATGAGCATAGGAAGAGGAATTATAAGCCAAAACACATCCAAAATATGAAGCTGGCAAATTAAGTAAAAGGCTATTTGTACACTGACACTAGCACATTGCTAGTGTTATAATAAGGGACATGGAATATCCAAAGGCTGTTTGAAGCATGCTATAAATCTATTCACTATTATAATCTATCTTTACTTACAAATAAAAAAATGGAGAGACATGTAACATATATATTAATATGTGTAGCAATGGCAGAATTTTCATTAAGCTGTTGAAGGTTAATCTTTGGGGTGTTCCATTTGCACAGGCCTCTTACAAGACTAATTTTTTACTGGTAATTTTATTTTTTGTAAATAGCACCCACCTTCAGTTGTATGATATTCTGACCTCAAAAATGCTGGATTTGATTCTCTCAGCCTGTGATAGTATTTTGAAAATGAGAAGAGGCCTTGGAGATCATGTAATTTGGCATCTCTATTTTAAAGCTGAAAAATATTAAAGTCCTTTTCAATTTGGTAAATAATTATAAACAAAGAAGCTGATACAAACAGCCTACACGAACAGAAATATAGAATCTACTTAAGAGAAATTTAAGGACACTGTACTCTGTTCTGTAAGACCAAATCGGGAAAGATACTTTCACTTCTGTATATAACACTACATACAATGGAAGTTAAGAAGAGGCAATCAAGCTTATATGAGGTAAGAAAACCTGCCACTTAAAGCATAGCTGAAAAAACTTTTGATATTTAAATTTAAAAAGGAAGATAGAAGTAATCCCTGCCCCCATGCTAGCATTTTGGTCTTTTGGTCTCTCTTACTCTGCAGCTATTATCACCTTCTTCTAGTATTCTGCACCTTTTAATGTAAGTATCATGGTAATAAGAATTTTTATCTGTTTTGTTTACTAATATATCTCTGGAGACAAAAAGTACCCAGTACATAGTAGGTACTCAAAAATATTTATGTTATAAATGAATGTCTATTTTATGTCCAGAGTTTTGTACACACATAATATAAAGAATGAAAAAAATAAAATATTCGAAGAAACGACAGCTGAGAAATTCCAGTAATTGAATAAAGGTTGGAATCTAGGAAACAATGACTCTCAAGGAAGATAAATAAAAAGAAATCCATGCCTAGTCTCGTAGTAGAGAAACAGCAGATAATCAAAGACCAAAAAAAAAAATCCCAAATGAAGGAAAAGAGCAGATTATCTCCTAAAATGACTATTACACTGACAACTCTTTATTTACCAGCAATACTGTAAACAAAAAGCAAGTAGAATAATATCTTTAAGATGCCAAAAATAAAATAAATTTCAATGTAAAATTCTATATCTAACTAAACTATATTTCAGGTAAGGGAACCTCAATTAAAAATAAGAGTTTTATTATCAAGGACTCCACTAAAGATACTTCCAAAATACGTACTTCGGGAGAAAAAAATAATAATCTCAAAATAAAAGGTCAAAATGTAAGAAGTAGTGGTAAGCCAAACAAATGGCAATCATAAGGGTGAATCTAAACAAACTACCTTTATGCAAAAAAATCATAATATTGTCAATTTATGAGCCTAAAAAGAAAACTAAAATACTGAACATCGATAGCATATTTAAGTCAGGACAACAACTATCTAAATGAACATGTGCCAAGATCCTTTTATGTTGAGAAGAAAGATTAAAAGAATCATCTTAATTAAAATAGCATTGTATACAAAATTGAGCTTTAAATACGACTCCAAAATAAATACCAATAGGGATCTTTTTTTAAAGTTAGTAAGCCAATTCTAAAATCTTAATAGAAGAGCAATGGTGCATTAAGAGTCAAGATAATTCTGAAGATGACAAAAATGAAAGGTATTTACCTTACCTAATATAAGTGCAGAGCATACATTTATATTCATTAAGAAAGGGTGTTCATGGTGCAGAGATAGACAAACAAACCAGTGGAACAGAATATACAGCCCAGGACTTAACATCCCCCTGCAAATATGTGGAAACTTATTAGAGAGACAGAATTATAGATCTGTGAAGAAAGAGTAAGTTAGTCAATAAATGAAACTGGAATAAAGTAGGTCCTTCTTTCACACATACACAAAAAAATCAATTCCATGTGGACTAATGGTTTAAATGTAAGAGACTAAACTTTAAAATATTTCCAGTAAAGTTATAGCACAATATAATGTTATAAAAGGATTCTTAAGACATAAAACATATAAATTATAGGAAAAGACAGATTGCCAACTTCTAAAACTATTATAAAATAAAATGGGAAAATAATCCAAATACAAGAAGATATTTGCAACACATAAAACTCACAAAAATTAGGTGCCAAATTATATAAGGAATGTCTACTAATCAACAGAAAAAAAAAGCACAATAGAAAAAAATGTGTTCATTCTTTGTTTATAAAAAAGATATTTTACCAAGGGAAAATAATAGTGGCCAATGAACACAGGAAAAGATCCTTAGCCTCCCTTGTAGACAAGGAAATGTAAATTAAACCTCCAGTGAAATAGTATTTTATATCCAAGGGATTGGTAACAAATTTAAAAATAAATATGACAATGGCAAAAGTTGATGAGGATGTGGAGCAGACAGCTACATACTACTCTAGAAATCAATTTGATGTTACACAGCAAAGTTTAAAATGTGTATGCCTATGACCCCTGGCATTGTTATTAAGAAAACCTTGCACATGTGCTCTTATAAGCATATATTTATAGTACCATGGTTTATAAAAGAAAAAAAAAAACAGTAAAATCCGTATATATTCCAAAGTCTACTTATAGGATAATGGGTTAGTTATAGATACTCATAGACTGAAATACTATTCAGCAATGAAAATGAGTTAACTATGTCCAGTCCATGAACAGGAATAAATCTAAAAAATATAATGTTAATTTTTTAAAAAGTGAGTCACAAGATAACGATGACAGTATGGTATGTAAAATAAATAAAACTAAACCATAGATTGCTTAAGGATAAATATGCAGGTAGTAAAAACATAAGGAAAGTCACAGAGATAGTAAAAAGAAATATTTAGAACTGTGGCTAACTCTGTGTGGAAAAGGAAGGTTGTGGTAGGTGGAGCACATAAAAATATTTGAAAGTATTGGTAATGGTCTATTTTTTAACCTGAGTGGTAGCATATGTGTGTCTATTTATTAATCTTCTTCAAAAGCTATGCATTTCATATTAACTCACTTGTTTAATATAAAATATTTTATAATTTCTTAAGTAAAAATGTCAGCTATGATAAAATTCATTACATCTCCCCCTCCTTCCAAATTATCCCAACAGTTAAATGTTGATTCATTTGTAGAGCATTAAAAACACATTTGATTGAATAAAATTCAATTAACATATATGTAGGAGTTCAGTCAGGGTGGCGGGAAAAGTTGTAAGAAAAAGTTATAGGGAAAGACTCAAACCTTCTTGGAAGGCCAGGAGGTTTTGCAAAAGCTTCGAAGGAGAAATGGCTGAAGGCAGCCAAATTCTGTTATCCAGAACCTGAAGGCAAAGGGTAGATAACAAGGGAATGTAAAGGAACTTATCTAGATAAGTTGGTTTACTTATGTCTCCAGAAACCAACCTTTGATCATTCCTGCACAGGACTGCTCTCTACTCAGGGGGTTGGCAAAGTTAATTACCCACAAATTGTGTTTGCTCCAATCCTTTGTCATTAAATCTGTACTAAATAAATGCAAGTGTCACAGGCTTATGGGGGCTGCACTCTGGGTTGCACTGCACTTTCATTGGCAGTGCTAAGGGGTGCAGTCCATCTAGCCATGCTGTCAGGCAAAATACCTGTGTCAGAGTACTTTTGTCATCCATCACTCAGCCAGAGTCTGCGGGACAGACTTGGCACATATACTTAAAATACCTACTAAAAACAATGTGTTAAACCTTTTTAGGCCCAAAAGATAAAAGATATAATATCTTTTTAACATTTTAAGTTTTGTTCTTGAGTTAGTTCATATATTAAGAAGACGTGTCTGGGGAGGCAGAGCAGGATGGCAAAATAGAAGGCTCCACCAATCATCCCCCCTGAAAGGACCCCAATTTAACAACTACCTACACCAAAAAGCACCTTCATAAGGACCAAAAATCAGATGACCACTCACAGTATCTGGTTTTAATTCCACATTGCTGAAAGAAGCACTGAAGAGGCAGGAGAAACTGTCTTTAATTGCCAGCGCCACCCCTTCCCCATCCTCCAGCAACAATTCCGTGTGCTGGGGAGAGGGAGAGCATAGCATTTGTGAGGAAATGAACTCAGTGCTGCCCTTGTTATAGCAGAAAGTAAAAACAAACCAAATTCAGCTGACACCTGCCCACGGAAGGAGCATTTAAACCAGCCCTGGCCAGAGGGGAATCGCCAATCCCAGCAGTCAGAACTTGAGATCCCACAAGCCTTACCACTGCAGGCTAAACTGCTCTGAGGCTGAGAATAAACTTGAAAGGCAGGTCACTGCCTTTCTAGGTCACTAGGACTGCAACTCCTAGGAAAGTCCTAGTCCTGAACTGGGCCCAGAGTCAATGGACTTTTGGGGCATGTGACCTACTGAGATACCAGCCAGGGCAGCTAAGGGGGTGCTGGCATCACCCCTCCTCTACCCCCATGGTGCATAGCTCATGGCTCCAAAAGAGACCTCTTCCATCCACATGAGGAGAGGAAAGGAAAGAGTGAAAAGAACTTTGTCTTGCATTTTGGATATCAGCTCAACCACAGTAGGCTAGGGCACCAGTCAGAGTTGTGAGGCCTCCCTTCCAGGCCCCAGTTCCCAGATGATATTTCTAGACACACCCTGGGACAGAAGGGAACCCATGGCCTTAAACAGAAAGACCCAGTCATATCAGGATTCATCACCTGCTAACTGAAGAGTCCTTGGTCCCTGAATAACCAGCAGCATACCCAGGTACTATGCTGAGGGCCTTGGGTGAAACTCTGAGACTTGCTGGCCTCAGGTGAGACTCAGCACATTCCCAGTTGTGGTGACTATGGGGCGAGACAAAAAAGCAGAGGGAAAGTAAAGGGGACTTTGTCTTGTACCTTAGGTACCAGCTTGGCCACAGTGTGGGTAGAGTGCCAAGCAGGCTCTTGAGTTACCAATTTCAAGATTTGGCTCTTGGACCGCCTTTCTGGGCCACTCAACTTGGAAAAGAAGAAGTCAAGTAACTCTTGTTTGCAGATGATATGATGTTATGCTTGCAAAAGCAAAGACTCCATCAAAAAACTATTCAAATTGATAAATTCAGTAAAGTTGCAGGATTCAAAATCAACATACAAAAATCAGTAGCATTTCTATATGACAGCAGTGAACAATCTGAAGAAGAAATCAAAAGTGTAATCCCATTTATAATATCTACAAATAAAATAAAATACCTAAGAAGTAACTTAAGCAAACAAGTGAAAGATCTCTACAATAAAAACTATAAAACACTGATAAAAAAATTGAATAGGAAACAAAAAATTGAAAGATATTACATATTCATTGATTGGAAAAACCAATATTGTTAAAATGTCCATACTACCCAAAGCAATCTACAGATTCAATGCAGTCCCTATCAAAATACGAATGGTGTTCTTCACAGATAGAAAACACAATCCTGAAGTTTATATGGAACCACAAAAGACCCAGAACAGCCAAAGCTATCCTAAGCAAAAAGAACAAAATTGGAGGAAATCACATTACCTGACTTCAAATTATACTACAGAACTATAGTAACCAAACAGCATGATACTGGCATAAAAACAGACACATAGATCAATAGAACAGAAGATAGAACCCAGAAACAAATCCACACACCTACAGTGAACTCATTTTCAACAAAGGTGCCAAGAACATACACTGGGGAAAAGACAGTCCCTTCAATAAATGGTGTGGAAAAACTGGATATCCACATGCAGAAGAATAAAACTAGATCCCTATCTCTCACCATATACAAAGATCCAATCAAGATGAATTAAAGACATAAATATAAGGCTTCAAATTATCAATCTTCTTTAAGAAATCACTGGGGAAATTTTCTAGGACAGTGGTCAGGGCAAAAATTTATTGAGTAATACCTCCCAAACACAAGCAACCAAAGTAAAAATGGACAAATGGGATCATATCAAGCTAAAAACTTCTGCACAGCAAAGAAAACAATCAACAAAGTGAAGAGACAACCTACAGAATGAGAGAAAATATTTGCAAACTACTCATCTGACAAGGAATTAATAACCAGAATATATAAGGAGCTCAAACAACTCTATAGGAAAAAAATCTAATAATCCGATTAAAAATGGGCAAAAGATTTAAATAGACATCTCTCAGAAGAAGATATGCAAATAACAAACAGGCATATGAAAAAGTGCTCAACATCACTGATCATCAGAGAAATGCAAATCAAAACTACAATGAGATATCATCTCACCCCGGTTAAAAGAGCTTATATCCAAAAACAGGCAACAACAAATGCTGGTGAAGATGTGGAGAAAAGGGAACACTTGCACATTCCTGGAAGTGTAAATTATCATAATAACTAGGAGAACAGTTCTGTGGTTCCTCAAAAAACTAAAAATAGAGCTACCATATGATCTGGCAATCCCACTGCTGGGTATATAAACAAAAGAAAGGAAATCAGTATATCGAAGAGATATCTGCACTGCCGTGTTTGTTGCAGCACTGTTGACGATAGCCAAGATTTGGAAGCAACCTAAGCATCCATCAACAGATGAATGGATAAAGAAAATGTGGTACATTTAAAAATGTTAAGTGAAATAAGCGAGGCACAGAAAGACAAACACTGCATGTTCTCATTTACAAGTGGGAGATGAACAATGAGAACACATGGACACAGGGAGGGGAATAATACACACTGGGGCCTGTCAGGGGAGCTGGGTGGGTGGAGGGAGAGCATTAGGAAAACTAGCTAATGCATGCTGGGCTTAATACCTAGGTAATGGGTGGATAGGTGCAGCAAACCACCACGGTACACGTTTACCTGTGTAACAAACCTGCATATCCTGCACATGTACCCTGGAACTTAAAATTAAAATTAATTTAAAAAATCAAAACAATTGAACTCATCGAGATAGACAGTAGAAGGATGGTTACCAGAGGCTGGAAAGGATAGCAGAGGAGGTGGTGGGTGGGGATGGTTAACGGCTAAAATAAAAAGTTAGAAAGAATTAATAAGATCTAGTATTTGGTAGCACAACAGGGTGACTACAGTAAATAATAATTTAATTGTACATTTTAAAATAACTAAAAGAGTATAATTGAATTGTTTGTAACACAAAGGATAAATACTTGAGGGAGTGGATATTCCATCTTCCATGATGTGATTATTATGCATTGCATGCCTGTATCAAAACATCTCATGTGCCCCATAAATATACACAGCTATTATGTACCCAGAAAAATTAAAAATTAAAAAAAGTCATGCATAGCTCATATTCCAAGAGCTTTTAGAAATCATTGTTTTGAGAATGCTTTTATATAAATGAGGATATATTGACTAAAAATAACATAACTCCTTATAATGTACTATATAGGTATACATTATAATATGGCATATCTCCAGCTCTATTTTAATGTCTCTATTTAATAGATTTAGGTATAATTTTATTGTATTTTCAGTAACTCATTTCTAATAACAGAATTTTTTAAATCAGTAATGTCTTATACATTAAGAGGTTAATTATTTGATATTCAGTGTTCAAAATTTGTTTGCTTTAAGACTGATTTAAAACTTTAACCAACATGTTTGAAATCATTGAGACCACAGCCCACGATCAGAAGACATACTTTAGAAAATGATTCCTATTTGTCCTCCAAGAAATTTACAAATATGTCCCCATACAAGAGCTCCATAAAGGACTTCATATCCAAATATCAAGGGCTTTGAACAGGATACTGCCACATTACCCGAGCCCTAAAGCATTGTTTACAAGGAATTTTGACACCCAAGTTAAAAAATGACACACGAGCAACTTTTCCCAAGAAACTATTCTAAAAAATGTTAAATTGTATTTGGTAATTCAGTTGTAGAAATCTGTTTTAATTTTTCTTAATAGAAACATAACAAAGATCATAAAAACACTCATTTTAATTTACAGGTGGCAAATATTCATTTTAGTCACCAATTATTCAACCACAATGAACTTCTGGAAAAGCAAAGAGTACTAAGTTAACAAATTGAGTCTATTTTCATCAAATTATCTAAAATCAGCCAAAACTTAAAGACAATTTCATATTCATGCCCAAAGGCCAAACACAAGTTTATAATTCATTGGGAATAAAAGAAGTCCTGTTTTTTAAAATCCCTCCTGATTTTTAAGAAATCTGAAGGAATTCAGTTTTTATAAAGCCAGCTAGTTTCAAATAGCATTAATGTTGATGTGGTAAATTATAGACGTCATTTAATAAAATGTATATTTAGAAGACAAAACAGCACTATAGACAGAAAGACTTTTTAAAATGTGTGTCAAACAGAAGATTAGAAAAAAGTTTTTAGTAAGAATAATCAGAAGTAAAAACAGTGTAACTATTTTTAACTGAAGTATTTTAAGTCCTTTCTTCCAACAAAAATTGAGTGCCTAATACAGCCATTTCCAGAACTTTTTCTTTTAATATGTAGAGAGAATATATGTATGAAGCCATATATATATATTCATATATGTAAAACCAGATACAAATATTAATCCTCAAGTGTGTATATTACATTATAGACATTTGATAAAAAATTATAATGTAGATATTAGAAACAACGCAAATGGCTAATCATAATATGGTATGGATGCACTATATTAGTAATTAGATTTAGTCTAATTACACATTAAAACCCCATTATTATAGGCTCAATTTTATTTTTGAAGTGTTTTATTAAAGCAGAGGTTTTACCTTTAGTAGGATGAAGACATAAAACTTTCATAAGTGACTAAGTGTAGAGGGATATTTAACAGGACCCATGACACATCCATATACTAATCACTAATCGCACACTATTCATATCTATTTAATACTGCAGAACCTCTGGAATCTTTTTGTTTGTTTGTCTGTTTGTTTAGAGACAGGGTCTCACTCTGTTGCCTACCTAGGCTGCAGTGCAGCAGCACGATCACTGCTCACTGCAGCTTTGACACTGGGGGCTCAAGCTATCCTCCCAGCTAGTTTCTTTGTTGCTGAGACTACAGGGACTTTCACCGTGCCCGGCTAAATTTTTTATTTTTGTTTTTTGTAGAGACAAGGGTCTTGCTCTCTTGCCTAGGCTGGTCTCAAACTCCTGGGCTCAAGTGATCCTTCCACTTCAGCCTTCCAAAGTGTTGGGGGTTACAGGCATGAGCTACCACATCTGGTCTTGATCTTTACTTGTTAATTATTTGCTGCTTAAGAGAGAATCACTTTTACTTATTCAAGTGATTTCAATGTATTTCTTCAGATATTTTATATAACCATTATTAATGAGGTTTTAATTATTGCACTTGTTAATAATATGCAGAAAATAAGAGAAGGAATTAGAGCTATTATTCCCATAAATGGAGTGAATAAGAAAAATAATTTTAGAAAAACTTGATCAATTGTAAAATGAAATTCACATCCATGCTCTCTGAATATATGTTAAAATAAACCAATTAGTATTTGTGGAGGAACATGAATCTGATAAAAATTTCCATGCCAAATGAATATTTCTCATTATATCAAAGTATAAATCTTCAGTCTTAGAACTGAAAGACTTTATTTATTATCTAGCTATGAATATATCTTCATTTTGAAACATCTACAACAAAAACAAGAAAGAAGAGTACTCAATGTTATCAGTTTGGTAGAACTGAATTAAGGCAGACCTTTTGATATCAGGTTGACTCTTTCATATTTGTTACTGTATTATCCACATAAGGTCTTACTAGGAGACAAAGTTACTCTGCCATAATGCCAACTTGTAAATATTTGACATTGAGTCTCATAGAAACTCTCTAAGGACAGTGAACAAATACCATAAGCAGTACTGCATTTGAGACAAAAGGGAATTAATTGAGAGTGACACCCATAGATACCACTGGCTGCTAAGAAGGATACGATCAGTGCCAGGAAACAGCACTGCACCTTTTATCATTTCTCCCATGATGCACCCTACTGACCACATGTCAACTGAAAACAAAAATGAAATGAAGATAAACAAGAACACAGGAATAGAACAACAAATAAATGAAAACACTGGGCTACTCATGCCATAGAGCAATAGTCTGACTTTTCACTGACTGGATGAGAGGCCAGTGGCATGATCATTAGCATTTTAAATGGTGGAAAGGGGAGAACATAGGCTCTCAAGGCCCTTTTCTGTCATATAACAGAAATAACAACACTACCCAATGCTACCTAATGTAGAATAATATTACTTTGCAATTATAACTCAATGATTAATTTAGGTTTTGATTTAAAAGGTCTAATTTGCATTCATTTACTAGAATCCTACTGATTTTTATCATAAATTATTCTAGATAGTGTTAATATGCAAATCAGTTTCTTTTTTACTCTTGTATACGTATTTGAAAAAAGAAAAAAGAAAAGCTGAGCTGCCAGCAACCTCAAAAGAGTTTCTTTTATAAAACACATTTACCCTTATTTATAAATATAAATACAGTTCCAGAAGTGAAAAGCCAGTTCAAGAATGAATGTTTCAGAATATGTTGTCTTAGTGTCATTGACTCTCATCAAAGGAGCATGTTTCTCAGCAGGAAGCCTTGTCTTATTCTTATAAACACAGTTGCCTTATAATGATAAGAAAAGCTGGCTTTCAAAATGGGATCGCTCAATGTGAAATAAACAACATGACTAAAGAGCTGATACTTCTTCTGAAACTGTGAATCAAAAGAAACCTGGAATTCAAGGTGGAATTATAATGGTCTCTCTGTTATTGCCAAGTATCATCCAGAACTTAAAACCAGGAAGCCAGGGCAGAGCGCACAGAGGGAGGGGCAAAATGGGGAAGGGTGAAGCAAGAAAGTGAAATCTCTCTCTTGAGCTACACTTGGTTACTCACTTGTTGTACTTAAAAATCAGAAAGAGAGGGCATTCTTGTGGGGGGAAAAATAAACAGAAGAATTAGGGATGCTGGGGGGGAGCAAATAGGGAAAGGCATTAAGATAGCAGCACAATATAATTTTGCTCCACTTACTTTTCAAATTACATCTTGTAATTTGGCAGTGACCTTAAAGAGATCCTCATGAGATTCATTCCAATGTGAAAATCTCACTCGGGTTAAACTCAAAGTTTCCATTGTTTGATTTAACACCTAAACAAAGTGATCACTGCAAAGAAACGGTTACGGCTTTGAAGGTGATAAGCATACCCAAAGAAGCAAATTTGTTTTGCTTCCAGTTTAGGAAAGCAACTGACATGCAGAAATATCAGGGAAAGATAGAGCAAACAGTTGTGCATCCCTTTATTATTAACGTGTTTGTAATTTCAAGTAATATCTGTCTCACAACAGGATGGTATTGAGAAATCTTTGATTAAAGAAAAAAACGGAAAACATATTTATTTTTAAATTCCAAGTATTCCTATCATACTGTCCAAAGAGACCAGTTTGACTAAATTGCTATTTATGGATTATCTATATTTTATAGATATTGTGGAAGAGATATACAAAAAACATTGAGACCAAAAATCTCAATATGCAGTGTTTTCTCTTGCCTGTCTCCATTCAAATGTTTAGAAAAAAAATGGTTTCTGCCATTAACCTGTCTGGGACTTAGGAAACATCTATTTCTATTTCTCATTTAGTATAAAATTGTTTTTTACAATATCTCTGGCAATATATTCATCTTTTTCTGCTAGAGAACCAATTCTATTACTTTCCAACTATGTGACCTTGGCCAGGTTACTTCTCTCTAAACCTCAATTTTATCCCCTAAAATATTGATGATAAGCTGTATTTATTATGTAGAGTTTTATAAAAGACTTGAAAAAGTTATGTCTGATAAAGATCCTTGCACAACTGCCTGGTACATAGCAAGTCCCCAATAAATATTATTTACATATCAAATCATCATGTATTAAATAATATATTAAAATTATATTTGGGAATTAAATATCTTTGGAAAAGGTTTATTTATTTTAAATTTACATAATTATATTATATATTTACATCTATAATAAAGAAATCTTTCCAGTGGAGGAATCTCACCACTCACTAGGCAATCTATTTTATTGTTGAAACCACTTAGAAAGGCATCCTACATATTGACTCACATTGACTCTATGGAACTTCTCTTCACTATGTAAACAGGAACTACTGTGTTTCCTCATCCAAATAAGAACCTTAAAGTATGTAACTATAACCTGTAATCCCTAACCATTCCTCTCCTAAAACTGGCCAATTTTATCTTTCAGGCTAAAATCCCTTGATTTTTTTTTTTTTTTTTTTTTTTTTTTTTGCTGTTCTTCACATGCCTTTAAACAACAGCAACAACAATAACAACAGATGGCCTAAATTAAATTCTGGTCTCTATGTTGCTTTAGCACCAGTTGGTTCTATACAGTTGTTAATTTTTTTTTTTCTTTGAGCCAGTGTCTAGCTCTGTCACTAGACTGGATTGCAGTGGCACGATCTTGGCTCACTGCAACCTCTGCCCCCTGGGTTCAAGTGATTCTCTTGCATCAGCCTCCCTAGTAGCTGAGATTACAGGCACACGCCACCACGCCCAGCTAATTTTTGTATTTTTAGTAGAGGTGGGGTTTCACCATGTTGGCCAGGATGGTCTTGATCTCCTGACCTTGTGATCTGCCCACCTCGGCCTCCCAAAGTGCTGGGATTACAGGCATGAGACACCATGCCTGGCCCAGTTGTTGATTTAATAACTGGTATTAATAACTGGTATATCTCACAGTTCTCTTTTTGGTGTGGGGGATCTGGGAGATACTCCAATGTAAAAGAAGAATATTTATTTAAAATATATATCTTCATGGGCAGAACTCAAAATAGATTTAATAGATCACAAATCTTTTGCATAAAAATAATGCAGAGATGTAGGCTCTAGATCTGAAATTCTGATGTACATATTGAATTTCATTTTCTTTATTTTAATATATCTTTATGGGTGATAATATCCTGGAAATCTTTCTAATTCCCATTTTAACTTTACTCACCATTCACTATTCCTAGAGAATATTTATATCTATGCTACCAAAATGCTAAGCCTTGTGCCTAGAAATGATAAGCTCTGTTATCTTGAATTACAAAAATTGAATATATGCACATAAATTTATATAGATTTTTATGTATTCAAGACAGGATTATGGCTCAAGATAAACTCATTGTACCAAACTTCATGAATTTGCCATCTCCACTAACAGAAAATGTATAATAAAAGAATTTGATACCAACTCTTATTGAACAGGAAGGTAGTAGTAGTAAGCCTTCCCTCTACTAATATCTCTATATTAGGATACATAAACATACTAATACAATATGTATCTGAATATATTAGTGATATATATATATATATATTGCTAATGAAGTTAAGAATAGATTATTTTATGAAATTGTCAGGTATTACAATGAATAGGGACTGTGCATAGACCTTAGAAGTAATTAGCAAATTCAATCACTGTTGGAAACTGCATTTTATGCTTTCTGAAACAATCTGATACAGCATCTGGGTCTCTGTAAGAGTTCTGTACACTAATGCTGCCAAGGTAGAATTCTGTTGGCTTTTAAAATTCTGATTCATCACATTCTTTCATCATCATTCTATCATTCCCATAGGCAGAAGGCAGATTCACTTGCAACTGTAACAATCAGATGCTGAGTCACTTTCCTTAGAAGAAATGTTGAGTAAATTTTGGTGTTACCAAAATATGATTAATTTTCAGAGTGAGAACCTCTGAAAATCTCATGTCACATTATTTGTCAGAAATTAGCTTATAATAAATTATCTTTCTTCTACTTCTAACCAAGAGATAGAAATTATACAATGTAAGCCCTGGAAGTTAAATCTAAATAAATAAAGAACTATATTGCTACTTCCACACTCCATCTAATAGCTTAAATTATGATCCACAATTAAATAATTTTGAGACTATGTGAGCTTCTATCCTGGAAAATGTTTCCTCTCTGGGGGATTACGTAACTCTTTTATCACAATTTCTGAGACTTCTCCTTAACACACCTAAGTATATTTTCATTTAGTGTAGAATTTAGACAAATTTTCTCTCAATGAATGACTCAACACACAATAGCAAGAAGATTTAATATAGTTTTCTAAAATCAGAACATTTCTTTGAAAATTATTTGTTATAATTTTTATAAAAATTATAAGTTATAAAGTTAGCAGTTATAAAATTAGAACATTTCTTTTAAAATTAGTTAACTAAGTCATAAATTTAGTTGTTTAACAAAAGGACCTTGTACTAAACTTCAGTTCAAAGACAGAATTCTAAAAGACCACTGATATACATAAATAAACTAAGAATGTACATATTTTGCACATGTGAATCTAAGTAAGAAAAATAAGCAACAATTCGCAGAACTTAATGCTAAATATTGTAATGCCAGGAAATCAGAAAAAGACTTTCTCCTTGAATCTACCTATTAAACTTGCTTTTATTTCTTTACAACCTCAGAATCTCCAGCTCCCATTCTGGTGAACCCTGCCTCACATTTTCATAAAATAATAACAAAAGAGAAGAGTTAGCAGGCACACTAGTGGTAAAAATGTATTCTTTTAAACAAATTCAAATAATAATTTTATTTTTAAATATTTATTTATAATTACATGCAATTTGCTTATAGATTTGAAAGAATGCCTACTAAATTGTTTCATCCTAACTTTATTTAAAACCATAAATTTTATATTGTTTGAAATAACTCTGTATTGTCTTAATTCTAAGAAAAAGAGTTAGACTATATAGTAAGTTGTTAGTTGCAAAAGTTTATTAGGAATTAAGCACTATTATTTCAAAGAGGTAAGAAGAATTTTAAAATATCTCTGTGCTAGATTGATATAACAATCTGTAACCACAAATTTTTGTTCATTTTACTTTGATCCTTCCTAATGTTCATATTCAAACTTTAAAAAGATACAGCATTCAGTTAATTTGAGGGTGTTTTTCTTATTTCTTCAAATATACTTTTGGAAAACCATTTACCTATTCCTTAATAACTTGGCTCCTTGGCAAGGTTATATGTATATCTCTTTCATTCTAACTGCAATTTCCTGTTCTTCAGAGGGAAAGGCAAGAGGAGCTATTTTAGCAGTCCAGCTGTTAGCTTTGGATATAATATACTTGAGGTCCAGAATTTTCAAATGCATGCAGTATGCCTGTCTTTAACTTTATATCCAGAGAATATTGGCCAAGAACTTAGATAAAGGGACATCACAGGGTTTGCTCAAAGAAGGTGCTATCATTTGAAGTAGAATGGAAAAAATAAGGTTGAAGAATGTATCTAAAAGAAGCAGGTTTGAGGAAAGGACTCATGAAAATTATACTGGGACTATAGGAGTCTTTGATAATCAACAAGATGGCATGTCCTGGTTGGGGTTTGGGGTGGTGGAGGCAGTGAATGACTGGATAGTTCTTAGAAAAAACTTCTAAGGAAGCATTGTAAAGCTGCTTTCCTGTAAATTTTATTGAAAGGAACAAAATCTGAGTGAAGCTAAAGTCACTGATTTCTTTTATCTGTTCTTTGGACTACATAAAAAAAAATAATGGACTTGGCCTATTTACTACTCTCTAACTTGAAAGTCAGCATGCGTTTAAGAATGTTTAAAGAATGTTTAGTAACATATTTAAATATGAATGTGCATTATAATGTTCAAATAAACTACATTATGTAAAAATATATGCTATGAAATGTTTTAATCATAAAACTATAGTGAAAATTAAGTGTATGATAGTGTATGCATAATTAAGAAACACTTTACACAAGAAAAATAAGTATTAAGAAGTGATCCTCTGGATATTAAAGTAATTAGCAAATTAATAAGTGGAAAAGCAAATATGTATTGTTTATTTTGTTCAATTTTATTTTGCCAACATTCTAATTCAGTAACCAAGACAATTCCCTGTGATATCATCTAGATCATATCAACCACCAAGAAACCCCCACGATGTTTCTCAAAATGCAAAGATAGTTTGAATGTGGGAAAGTAGTTAAACTTCAGTCATCAATGACAATTTCATAAGATTCTCTGATTTGTCAAGACATTTTACTATTTTTGCTTAGGGTTCAAGTTTAAAAGTTCTGTGAAGAGAGAAGAAAAATGTTGATTATTATGATAGTATTATCACATCATTTTTCAGCCTCAAAGTAATTTAATATAAATTACTCTGAATAATTCTAGGTGAAAGACATGAGAACCTCTGATTGTTTTTTGAAATTTCTGCAGAGTCCTGGAAGTAGTCAAGGTATCAATTAGCATATACTTAGCTTTGATATTTCTTCCAATAAATGTTAGACTAATTTCAATATGCTTAAAATTGTGTAATTCTTCTGCCGATAAATAACTTGAATCAGCCCTCAGCCTTGTGTCTGATAGTCATAGTTTGAGAGGTTATCTGACTGCTCAGTTGTTGGTAGGAAGTCCTGTGCATAAAATGATAATAATTTCATTTAAAGATTAATAAAACAATTCTACTCAAAATTAACAAAGCACATTGTTTAACTGAGATTTCTATAGGTTTATTTTTTAAATGTAACTATAACTTTAAACATTAAGTTATAATTTTAATTATAGGTAAAAGGGGCTAAGAAATCCAAATGGAAACATTTTCAAAAAGGAAACATTTTTTCTAACCTATTTCATTGGAAAATATCTACTCATTTTTTGGTAAAATTTAACTTAAGTAAAAGGCTTTCCATTGTAGGTGTCTTTATGCAATTTTTTTTAACTTTTAGGTCCACATGCAGGGTCATTATCACATATGGCACTAGGCTATCAAAGACTGCTGTACTATGTAATCATCACTTGAGATAAAGAAATATATATATTTATATAATAAATGCAAACCTTTATTATAATCTACATTATCTGTATTAGAGATTATTTAAATGTCTAGGTTCATACATATCAAGGATATAAATGTTATGTATTAATTTTCACACAATTTAATTTCAGCTCCAAAAATTTTTCTAAAACAAACTAGGATTAAAAAAGGTGGGAGGGGCACCTCCAAGAGAAAAATTTTTAAAAGAAAATAAAATTATCAATATGGTGCTTTGTTTTTTTGTTTGTTTTTCTGAAGGGTTAGATTGAGTTTAAAACTTTTTGCTTTTTTTCTCTTTTATTGGCTTTTAAATTTAATATTGTCAAAATAGAAGAAAAGCAATCCGCATAAATGCCTGAAGAGCTAAATAAGATCTCAGAGAACAACCTCGCTACATGAAATCAAGTGACATGTAACAAAATGTCACATGGAAATGAGAAATCCTGTGGCTTTTTGCTTTCCACTGACAAGTGCATGAGAGAGATGTGGCTGTGCAACTTCACTCTGAGTATTGATTGAGAGGTTCCTTTTTTGTCTAAAATGTGTTATATACCAAAGGCAAAAGCATAAAGAAAATAATTCCTACTTTTGAATAAAGTCAGCACATTTAAATATGAATGTGCACTATAATATTGTTCAAATAAACTATATTAGGTATATAATTAATCCCCAAACTATAGATAAGTAAAGTGAAATAAATTTTCCTAAGTAGCCATATGAAATCTAATGGTGAAAATGATACTTCACACTATAGATAGGAAAGGAACATGGAGCAAACAGAGATTCAAGACCTTAAGATTGGTTATAAATAAATGGTTGCCATGTGGTTTTCTTATCTTCTAGACCAGCACTGTCCAATAGAAAAATGACAGTCACAAATGCCAATCATATACGTAGTTTTAAGTTTAATGTCCACATTCAAAAGAATAAAAAAAGATATATATATTTAACCCAATATATTCATAATGCTATCACCTTAACACAAGCTATATAAGATTATTAGTAATATATTTTACATGCTTTTAAAAATATCTTCAAAATCTGGTATGCATTTTACACATAAAACACATTTCAATTTAGACTATAATTTCAAGTGCTGAATAACCACATGTGGCTAGTGGCTACCTACTAGACAGTGCAGTTCTAGAATATGTCATCACTCTTACATTACTAGTGGATTTTAGAGACTATCTCATTAATATCCAGCAGAATGAATACATACCTACCTAAATACAAGCTTATTATGGTACCCACTTCTTGTTGAGTCAGGTTTTTTTGTTTTTGTTTTTTACTATTGGACTTTTTAAACACCTCAATAAAAATCATAACCTTTCTTACATAATAGAAGGATTCCTTAATAAAACTTTCTTATCAATCAAATAGAATGGTTAATAGAGTTATGGGTCACATGGTTATTGCCAATTTCCAAAACATCCATATGTAATAAATATACTAAATTCAATCCTGTATTATAATTGTTAAAGTTGTCAATGGTGATTGTACTTAGATTTGCACTAGTATTTGTAGTAAGGTATTTTTGTATTTTTAAAAGTATATTATACTATTATATGTAAACTTTATTGTCTATATATTACAAACACAAATCTGTACCTTTACTAGAGAGTGAATTTTTGGCCATTTAAGAAATGTATCAGTTCATTTGATAATTCCAAATCATAGATAGCTCTACAAGAAATTTCTGATGGACTCTATTGCAGGACTCAGTAGTAGAACTTAAATCCAAATTGCTTTATGAAATTATAAATTTAGTTGGGAAAACAAGCATGTATGTCTATGTCACATCTCCAAGTCAGGTGAGAGAAGTCTACATTAAACTCACCTGACCACTAGCAACTTGAACAATAATTACAATTTTTAAATGCAGAAGTTCATGTTTTGAGGAAGATATGCTATATTGACCTGTTAAAGACTTGATTTAGTGTCGAGTAATTTAAATCAACAAAGCCATAGACAGAAGCTTAGAATGTCAGCAAGGAGAGCAATTATTATGCCTAAATATTGTAGAAGCACAAAATAGTTTTAGAAAGGAGATGGAAAATGACTTGCAAATAGTGACTTATTTTGCTAGTTATAAAGGTAAATATATTTTAATCATTTGGGATCTGGTAGCCTTTGTTATTAAAGAAAAATAGCATTTCTATTTTTAGTTGCAGGCAAGAAAGTAATTTTAGAAGAAAAAAGCCCATTGAAATTTAATTAAAAGAAATCATTGTGGTAGGCAGTCTTCAGTACTGGTCAGATTATAGAAATTATCACTTTTTTATTACAATAACACCACTTACCCAACTTTTTGCTTCTATCTTTACTCTCCTGGTAAAATCATTATGTGTTTAAAAGGGAGAGAGAACAAAACAGGTAAAGCTGTAGCAAAAGGTACAAGGATACAGTCCCTTCCTGGAAAGAGGATTTTGTGGCGAACCATTTCTCCCATAATGCATCCCACAGACCATATATCCACTAGAACAGGAGAGAGAGGGTAGTGAAGAAAAGGGAGGAAAGTAAAGTTAACTAAGATAATTGACTTCTGAAGGAGGAGGAAAAAGAACAGTTTGATTAAAAGTACAATTTTCACCTCCCACCAAAAGTTGGCCAAAATGTGAATTCAAACCAGCGCTATGCTATTACATAAACAGTGTTTAGTATGAGAACTCAAATTAATGTTTAAAAACCCATTACTTTGTGGGTGCCTTACATTGCCTCTCAGCAGTGCCACAAAGTGGTGACATTGGTGACTGAGAAAAGCAATAGCTAAACCAAAAGTATCTCCATGGCAGGTGACAGCTAAAAGCCACCAAAGGGTTTTCTGTGTCATTTTCCGGATGCATAGAAAACAATATTAACTTGTA
Organism: Homo sapiens; assembly: GCF_000001405.40. Taxonomy (NCBI): domain Eukaryota; kingdom Metazoa; phylum Chordata; class Mammalia; order Primates; family Hominidae; genus Homo; species Homo sapiens. The sequence goes on from NC_000004.12 coordinate 86,098,985, forward strand.
GAGTTGGCTATTTTCATTTTCTATTCTATTCAGTTACAGAGAATAGGGCAACAAGAGACCACCTTTTTTTTCAGGGGGCCAGGGGGCCGGGGCAAAACAAGATAAATTCAACCAAATCCAATAAACCAGGAAATGACTGGAACCATGGTTTAGAGGCAAAAGAATTGGAATTCCTGGTATTTGGGACTTAGCTTTTCCTTCAGAAGTTTATTCTTGTAAATAAACATCAGTTTTAGTTTCCATTTGAAATATTTCAAGAAAAAAGACATATGATGAATTAGCACATGTATAAAGGAGTCATCTGGAAGGAAAGTGAAAAAAGTATTAAAGGTGTTAAAAATTGTTATGTACATATATTTATTTCCAAATTGTCAAACTTGTTAGGAAAACATGCTTTGCCTTCTCTTACCAATCTTTACCCCTTTCCAACTTGCTTTTCATTATGGACAAAGGGAACTTTTGGGCAGAATCATTTGGCCGAATTGTTCCATGGGGAAGGAAGGCGGGGCTAGGTGCAGGGGACAGCAGGGCATGCCTGATGTGGGAGCAAGCAGGTTTTTCTGCATGATAACCTTCCTCCCATTGGTGGGAGGGCAGCACCAGGGTGCTAGGCAGGCCTCCTCCATGGACTTAGAGAAGTCAAAAACCTAAGGCAGCAACTTGCAATTCCTTCTAGTGAGGGAAGGGAAAGGGATTTTAATACCAGCTATTGGTAGTGCCAAGATCTGAAAGCCCAAATAGGCAAATTCAGACCGCCCCACCCCCCAGTCTCCTGTACATTCTTGATTCTTGACTTTGTTTCTCCTTTGACTTTTTAAAAATAACTCGTGAAGAAAGTATAAAAATGTCTTCTTTTCTGAATAAATTAGATGTGGTATTGCCTAGCAAGGAGGGCTAGATTCATCTCTTCTGAGTCAAAAGGTACCAGAACTCCGATATTGCCCACCAGGGTGAACCTGACCTTTGTAAGAGGTGACTTTTTAACTTCCTCTGTATAAATGCATACATACATTATCTGTCTTCTAATCTAAGAGTATACAAAGAAGTTTCTGTAAACTTCAGTGGCCAGGGAATTTTCACAAAAGTACCCTGTAGCACCTGTACATAAAAATACACTGATTATTTTTATAAAACTTATTAATACAGACTGCTAAAAACTAAATAGAATAGAATATAAAAATAAATATTAAAGATACACTGAATACATATACAATCCTAATTTAAAACTATTTTAATTCCTAAGTATATTGAATATGTTTTCAATATGGTGCATTACTTGTAAGATATAGTCTCATCAAAATAATACATTGCAATGCTTTCTAACATATTTAATAAATCCTTAGTTTTAATCAACTACACTCAATTGTGATACATTTTTAAGATTCCTTCCATAGCCTTCATTTTAAAGTGTTCATGAACATTAAGTTTTCTTTATGAAAGCAGTAGTGTCAAATTTGACATTTTCCTTTTTTACGATTTTTGGAATATATAAGGATTTATTAGGCAATTGCTACTCTAAATGTTTCTTACAGAGCAGCTTAAATTATTACAGAAATTCTTATTCAGTTTAAATAATTTGGATTATTTCAAAGTTGTCTATGAAGATTTTCACTCTAAGGATTTGTGTCACTTTTTTGCTTGTCTTTTTCTAGAACTACAGCCATCAGTCTGAGATACAACATAAAAGCCACATGGCTAACTGTGGTAGATTCCTTTCTGCTTTCACACTCATGCTCAGCTGAGCTGCAACCCAAATAGCAATTTTTCTCAATATCTAGGCACGTGTGCTAATCAGCATCCGCTTGACTGTTTAATCAGACTCCATTTACAATTCTTTTTCACTATTAACATTTAGTGCTCTTCTAGCAAAACTGACTTCTCAATAACATCCTTCACATTTTTAATGAGTGTTTCTTACCAGTAGTATTAAAAAAAACCCTGAATATGCTATCTGGCAGCCCTACTTTATAAAAGCATGTACATAAAAGAGAACATTCCCCTTGGCTATCTACAACGTGCACCCGTTTCATTCATGGTTTTGATGCTGCTCTCCCGAAGCATCCCTACCGTTCTCCTTGTAGCCCATCCCCAGGATGACCTCAGGGGCTCTGTAATAACGTGTCACCACATATGGAGTCATCATGAAGCTTGTGCCTGCTGTCCTGGCCAGTCCAAAGTCCAGGATTTTCAATGTGCAATCAGACTTGACTACAATGTTACTTGGTTTTAAATCCTAACAGTAAGGATAAGGGAAAAAATTAAAAGCCAGTATCAAGTGAAATGTTATTTCCATTGACTCAATCAACATAGCCATTTTGCAGTAGCACTGATGAGGTCCCCCTTGCCTACAGAGCTCTAAATAAGGCAAATGATTACTGCTACAAATAAGTTAACTATTAGTTTTTGGAAAGTGTTTTAATCCCAGAAAAGAATTGTATTATCATTTTCACAATTTACACTAATCTTGGGAAGAGGTTTTAGAAAAAAAAATATTTATTGTCTTCTGTTAGGTTTCTCCTTAGGACAACATAAATCTTTCAACATATATATCATTTCTAGGCCTGACAGAAGAACAGATCAGGGAAGCTGTCTTTATGCTGCCAGAAACATCTATGGAAATGAATTTTCTTATTTCAGTTGCACATATGACTTCTGCCAATCAAGGAGCTGAAAGCATGAGGCTTCTAAGAAGCTGCATCTCAATGAGCCAAAACATAACATTGAACAAACTCAACTACAATATAACTAGAATTTCCTTCTACAATTAGTGAACTAGGTGCTAATTCTAGTATCAAAGAAATGAGGAAGTATATTATATTTGACCAATGCCCCCCGTATAAAGAAAATAATCTACAGTTACTCTTCCTCTTAAAGCATTTGAATTGTAATCCTAGAGAAGGTGTTCTTACCCTGTGAATAATTCCAGCAGAATGGAGGTGCTTAATGCCACACAACATTTGGTACAGCAGGTAAGACATTCGCTCATGGTCTAATTCCATCTGAATCACTTGACATAAGTTGGCATCCATCAGTTCCATTACTAAGTAACTAGAAGGGTGAATCCACAGTGTTAGTTCCAGATCACAAGATCTATGAAGTCCTTTGATTTAGTCAGAATGCTCTCCTAACTCTGTAAGTCTTCTGAACTTCTTAGCTCTGCCTTTGACTTAATCAAGACTGAGCATTTCCAGGTATTGCATGTGTGTTAGCTATACGAACCCTACCAAAAGGTTGCTAGTAGAAAAAGCATTTATTAATGTCTGGTTCATGTCCACAGATTTGTTACCTTAATTTTGCTTTCACTTTCCCCTGTATTCCCTCAACTCTTTTGTGAATATTATAATTTCAAATAAGAAAAAAATTAAGGACAGCTTCTTCCATTAAATTCAATGTATCTGTATTAAAGACAAGGTGCTAGGGAATCACTTCCTCTCCTCCATCTGTTGTCACTACTGGGTAGACTTTGCACAAAATCAATGACACTATAAAGATAGAAAGAATAAAGATAATTTTCACGTCCCTTTTATTACTATTTCTTTTTGTTTGTTTGTTTTGAGACGGAGTCTCGCTCCGTCACCCAGGCTGGAGTGCAGTGGTACGATCTCAGCTCACTGCAACCTCCGTCTCCCGGGTTCAAGCAATTCTCCTGCCTCAGCCTCCTGAATAGCTGGGACTACAGGTGCATGCCACCACACCTGGATAATTTTTGTATTTTTAGTAGAGGTGGGGTTTCACCATGTTGGCCAGCATGGTCTTGATCTCCTGACTTTGTGATCCACCTGCCTCGGCCTCCCAAAGTGCTGGAATTACAGGTGTGAGCCACCATGCCTGGCCTTATTACTATTTCTTCAGGTAAATTAACTCATTGTAGAAAGTTTGTGGAATCTATTAATAAATATAAATAAATAAGCCTTCCCTGAGTGACCAAGAGCATGGAACAACAAAGTATATAAAGCCACAAGGCCAAAAGGAGGCAGAATGTCTTTCCAGGAAGTAACCCCACAAACAGAATCTTCTTTACATATCACTGGACCCCTTTCATTTGACCCCACCTCTTACCTCTCTTTGAGCAGTATAAGGGATTTCAACTCTGTGTGTGTGTGTGTGTGTGTGTGTGTGTGTGTGTGTGTGTGGTGTGTGATTTTCCCTTGGGCTATCTGAGTGCTGTGCTCTCCCTTCCTTCATGAGTTTTGTTACTTACACATCTTGGAACTCCTCCAGCGTTTTCTGGGGTGTGAAGACATTTAATAAACTAATAATCTGAAAGAGAGTGGAAGGGACAGAGGAAACGAGAGAAAGAAAAAAGAGAGAGAATGTATTATTTTTAAATTGTATTTCAACTCAAAGTCACTCACTAGTGCTATGGCAGAAATGGAGAAGTTGGAAAAATGTCTTGAGCTGTCTCAGAGGACACAGAAAAGTATGCTCAGAAAGAACAGATGATCTGTCTTCAGGTTAATAATGCAGCTAAAAAGCTCAATTCTTGGGCAGAAGCAAGAGTCAGAGAGATGCATAATTGTTACACTGCTTTCAAGTGTGATTCCTCGTGGCAGAATATGGGCCTTCGGGGGATTAAACAAAAAAGGAAGAAATGCCATGTGAGGAGAGAGGTGGCAGTAAAACACTCAGTGAGACTTAGCAAGGGGATACTTCTCCAAATGAACAAAGTTGTGTTCTACTTCATGATTTTTTTGTGTTGTTACTTTATATTTTTTTTTACTTCTACCTCACACTCAAATATTAAACTAATGCTCCAATAATATGTGTGGGGAAAGGTGCATTCTAGATGATATCAATGATGGATTTAATAGAAAATTATTTTAAAGTTATTTAAATTCAGTTAAAAGCTTTTTGTTTCCTGCTTTATTTTATATATCAGCTAGTAAAAAAATCTACCTTCTAGTATAAGCAAATTTTGTAAAAACCCCTTGTCACATTTCTCAGTAGAGTACATACATCAATAACTCAAAATGTTCTTCCAGCTAAATATTTGGTACTAACGTGCCAGTAGGAAATGAATATAAAAATATATAAAAATCTTATACTCACAAGATAGTTGCAACTATTTTATAAAAATTAGATAAGTACAAGGTCAAGATTTAAGCAGCTTCAAAGCATCAATCAATGAATTTCAGTAAACTTTATAAATGATATAAAGACATGTGGAGTAATAAACATAAAACAAAATTAGTTTAAACACCTGAGAAATTGACTCAATTCTATGGAATGTTTTATGTCTCACGTAGTTTTAACTGATTGAGAAATTATTGACAAAAAATAACCACAGTACCATCCAATATTTTCTAGTATACATATATATGGCAATGTTGTAATATAGTTTTAAAAATACAAGATCATCTCTTCTAAAGCAACCTTGCAGTGTGGAATATTCATATAGAAATAAAATTGTTTTAAAATTATCTTTATAACTTGTGATTAAAGTGCCATGTTATTCTGTGTACTCAGTGCTAGTGAGTGTTGAAAAATGACTATGAAGTACACCTTTCATTGGAACATCTACAGTGGGTCTGTTTCTCTAGGACTTTATCAATCTCATAAAGTAATTTATTTCATTTTGCTATTTGTTCAAACAAAAATATTAGAGACTGTGTATACAGCACACATTACATCCACACAAACATTCACATGAACACTACTTAAAAATGGAAAAATGCTAACCCAGATCACTTAGTGAACAAATAATCTAGATAATTTAAAAAATATAGAAAATAGCATTACAATTTTAAATAAATCAAGATTTATTGTTTTAAAAGGTAATTTATCAAGATCTATTCCCTACTGTATGTTCTTATTTTCCCTTTTCCTATGACCTTGTTTTATTACTTTTTACTCTTCGAGAATTTCTCTTCTATCCTTCATTTGCTCTCTTGTAAATTCTAATTCCTACCAATAGTCAATTTTAAAAAGGCATCTGTAGAAGGAGATTATCACAGCTATAAAATTTCCATTTTAATCCAACAGTTTCCAGACAGGAATCTCAGTTCTTTTATTCCAGCATCTTGAGACACACAGATGTGAATCTATGTTTGTCAGGCCCCACTAGTTCCTGGAATTGAATATTTATTTTCTTTTTCTAGATAACAATTTTAATCTAATTTTCAGTTGATAAGAAATACAGAAAACAGGGGACCAAACTAACACCATAAAGAAGTATTTTCTAAACAGATTTTCTTCACTATTATTAAAGATTTAATGGGATTATTTTGCTCTTGCTTTGCTTTCCACAGTATTAACACAGTTCTACGTTCTTATTAATGCGAAATTTACATTTGGTTGTAAGTGAATTTCCTCTTCATAAAAAGTTCCAGAAATGTGTTTCTGTAGACTTCTGCATACATACATACACACATAAAAGGAAGGTAGCAGGTGTGATGCTATTTATAAATTATCACTGCAATCTGGAACTCTTTTTTAGGCTTCATAAATATGAGTCTCCAACATTTCAGTCAAGAATGGGAAGTATTCTCTCAAACTGACCAAGTAAGTGAGCATTTCTCCACATTCTATTGCATTACAGGGTCTGGAATGAGGATGAGGGAAATATAAATACATGTATGGAAAACTTTCCATACAATTGATTCATTGCTTGTATCCATCCATTTTTCATTGCCCATGTTATGCTCCATCCTCCTTGGTATAACAGAATATATTGCATTGATCATGTGGCTAATCTTGCACTTACCTTTATTTAACATACTGAAAGAACAAATTAGTATATAACTCTTCATAGGAACCATCCTTTCTATCATTTCTATATTCCTTTCTAGAAGTCTCATGTTTGTTGCATGGCCATATTAGATATGAGTGTGCAGTTCATAAAATTTCAATTTCTTGGTGAGGCCTTTGCTGCTTGGCCTATTTAAAAGGGTAAACCTATCCCACCATACACTGACCAGCATTTTTAAATATTCCTTCTTTGCTTTGCCTTACTTAATAGCACTTATCATCACCTGACATTTTACACATTGACCTGTCTTATTGTGGATCGCCTTGCTCTTGCCAATAGAGCATAACTCCACATGGGCAGCAATTTGTCTGTTTTCTTCACCATCTAGATCTGTTCCTGGCACATTTTATTCATTCAACACATACATGTCAAATGACTGAATTAAAAAATCATCAGGGTAGAGTAACAGAGGAAAAGAGAAATACTGTCATGGGGCCCGAATCTGCATATTTGCATTTCAAATATCTTTCAACTTAATACTAACACATTTGTGTCTTCTCAGTGCCACTGGTAGATGGCGAGCATTAGGACAAGATCCCTGGTTTATAAAACCGCACTGGTAATGTGTTCTGTGTAATTTTCATACATAAGAACTTTGTAGAGAGTTATTATAGCTATTATACTATAGAATAATTTTACTTGTAATGAAGTTATCTTTTGATTTTTAAGAAAATAAAATTTTATTTATAATAATTTATAATTTATTATATATTTATATCTAAAATGTATTTGATGTATTTATTATAATTTATTTATTAATAAAAGTTATTAAAATAATGAATTATCTCCTATTTATCTTTATTAAGAAGAAGTGGAGCACAGAAAGAATTCTAGAGGTCTTGGCCTGTGATTGAAGGAGCTTAGATTCTGAAATGAAGAAAGTCCTTTACTGGTCTACCCAGCTGAGTTCCGATGAGAAAAAGCTCTTGATCCTATTCTCAAGTGGTTTGCAAATATGTACTCACATACTTGCCCACCCCTGAAAAAAATAAGATGCCAACACACAGTGAATTCACTGAACAATTAGAGGCCACCACCAGGCTACAGCTGAAATAAAAAGGAGATAACATGAATAAAACTCAACCGTTGGCAATTAAATCTAAATTATAAATCTAAATTAAATCTAAATTATAAAGAAATGTAGCATGGTGCTTTGTAGGTTTTTTTTTTCTGGCTTTTGGCTTTGCTTGTCTTGTTTCTTTCTTGAAGCTCTCAATTTGGAGCAAGATAACCAAATATGGTAAATTTTCTAACTAGGGAAATATTTATAAAATTCATCACTTCCACATCATATGGTTTTTAGGTGATTTTTAAGCAGAAAGCTACCATGAGGACAATGAAATCGAATGTAGCATATTGGCAGGATAAACAATCTTAAGAGGCAGGAATTGCAAAGCAAAGAAAGCCTTTCTTACTCAAGTACAGACACATTTTCTTTTTCCAATCTTACAAACTCCCACTGCCAGAAGTTTAAAAATAACAAAACTCACGTTTTTATGGTTCACACACTTCATGAGGACCAGCTCCCGGTACGCTCTCTTGGCATGTGTTTGGTTCTGAAAGGGTCTGCTGAGCTTCTTAATGGCCACATTTCTGTCAAGGACAGCATCATACGCGGCACTGTAGAGATCCAAGAGCAACTCAGAATTAAGAACAAAAGATTCCTTAGAACTCTTGCCTACTTGATTAAGGATACTGGTAAAGAAAATGCTATTTCGGAATCTTAGATACTGTCTACTCTGGTCACATGCCAATCAGGCTTTAAGTAAAGATATGAGTGACTGGCATAAGAATATTCTACATGCTAGGAGGATGAAGAAGAGTTGGAGGAAGGGAAGAAGGAGAAACAGGAGAAGGGGGGAAGGAGTAGAAGAGGGCAAAGGAGAAGAAAAAGATCTTGCCAAGAATATAGCATATAATTGCCTCAGTGAGTGGGTGGAATAAAGAAGTAAGACAGGCATTCAAATTTCCCACTAGCCATGTGACTATGGCAAGTCATTTAATCTCTCTGAGCTTGAATTTCTCATCTGTTAATATATGATATTTAATTTTTATAGCTATAAAATTTCATTGTTCTTTGTTTGTTTTAAATGAACATTTTCTATACCCATTCACAAGAACCAGGTGTTTTGTTTGTTATTGTTTTTTAGAAACAGAGTCTTGCTATGTTCCCCAGGCTAGTCTTGAACTCCTGAGCTCAAGGTATCTTCCTGCCTCAGTCTCTTTAGTAGCTGTGACTACAGCCACATACTATGTCACCCAACTAAGAACCAATTTTTAAGATGTGATGTTAATTGCCATAAAAGCACTGGTGGGCTGATGATCAAAGTGTACTCTCATTAACAATAACAAAGCTCAAAATAAGAAATGCAATCAGAGAGTTTTAGAAACATAAATAACTGCATTTAAATACAAAGACAAAAATAAATGCTATTCACATGTGAAGCTTTCACACCGAGATTGAAAATTTACAATGCTTTGAAAAAGCTATCTAAATATTTGGTGCTATTTCTCTCATATGCAGAGTACATGAGTTTAGAGATCAAATGAGAAAGTGAGAGAGGCTCTTTTTGCCATTATACCTAATGATGCACTCACAAAATATGTGACCCATCCCTGAAACTTTGAGTCCTGCTGGGTTTTGTCTTAGTTGTCAGGAGGAAATGCAAAACCAGAATCCACTACAACTGATCTACTAAATTAGAAGTAACATTGACCATTGAAGCCTCATGCCACAGAACTAGGGGCAAAAAATGGAATTTCTGTACTGTAAGAAAATGATAGATTCACAGAATAAGGTTGAAAAAAGTCTTAGAGTTCACCTGGTCCATACTTTCATTTAATACTCATTCCTCTCTAAAATATGTCCATGAAAAGTTTCACCAGTCTCTGTTTGCCCACCTCCAAAAACATGGAAATCATTATATCTAAGCAGCTCTTTCTATTGTTCGGCAGCTTTGAGAATAGAAATGCCATCATTCTAATAAACAGAGTTATCTTTCTGCAGTTTCCACTGACGACTGTTAGTCCTGCCTTCCAGGGCAACTCAAAATAAAATGTTTCCTTTCCATTATTAACCATAATATATGAAATCTATTAAAAGGCTGCACACAATGCGTGGCCTAGAGTCAACACTCTTAACTCTTAGCTTTTAGCATTTTTCCCCTAAGTCTTTACTTTCTTAAATTAAATATTACCAGTCCCCTACCATCACTTGTCAGATGTGGTTTCAAGTCCCGTTACTATCTGGTCAGTTTCCTCTGAATAAACTCCAGTGTGTCAATATGCTCTGAAAATGTGGACCTTGTGCTAAATAAACATTGCTACTCTGGGTATAGAGTGTTACTGAAGATTAGGGTAGAGCTAGTAACTCTCTCATTCATTCCTTTGCTCATTCATTCAACAATCCTGTTCTGACATTGTTTATACAGCTAAGTCTGTCCTGGAACTCTTTAATAATGACATTCCACACTATTCTTTTTCACTTTTTAAAAAAATTTATTTTATTTAAAGTTCCTGGGTACATGTGCAGAATGTGCAGGTTTGTTACATTGGTAAATGTGGGACATGGTGGTTTGCTGCATCTATCAACCCATCACCTAAGTATTAAGCCCAGCATGCATTAGCTATTTTTCCTGATGCTCTCCCTCCTCTGCTTCCTGGCCCCAACGGGCCCCAATGTGTCTGGTTCCCGTCCCTGTGTCCATGTCTTCTCATTGTTCAGCTCCCACTTATAAGTGAGAACATGCAGTGTTTGGTTTTCTGTTCCTGCATTAGTTTGTTAAGAATAATGGCTTCCAGTTCCATCCATGTCCCTGCAAAGGACAAGATGTCATTCCTTTTTATGACTGCATAGTATTTCATGATGCATATGTACCACATTTTCTTTATCCAGTCTATCATTGATGGGCATTTGGGTTGATTCCATGTCTTTGCTATCGTGCATAGCGCTGCAATGGACATATGCATGCAAGTATCTTTACAACAGAATGATTTATATTCCTTTGGGTATATACCCGGTAATGGAATTGCTGGGTCAAATGATATTTCTGGTTCTAGGTCTTTGAGGAATGCCATACTGTCTTCTACAATGGTTGAACTAATTTACATTCCCACCAACAGTGTAAAAGCATCCCTATCCGCAGCCTTGCCAGCATCTGTTTCTTCTTGACTTTTTAATTATCACCATTGTGAATGACATAAGATGGTATCTCATTATGGTTTTGATTTGCATTTCTCTGATAACCAGTAATGTTGAGCTTTTTTTCATGTTTGTTGGCTGCATAAATGTCTTCTTTTGAGAAGTAACTGTTCATGTCCTCTGCCCCCTTTATATGAGGTTGGTTTTTTTCTTGTAAATTTGTTTAAATTTCTTGTAGACTCTGGATATTAGACCTTTGCCAGATGGATAGATTACAAAAGTTTTCTCGCATTCTGTAGGTTGTCTGTTCAGTCTGATGACAGTTTCTTTTGCTGTCCAGAAGCTCTTTAGTTTAATTAGATCCCATTTGTCCTTTTTTGCTTTTGTTGCAATTGCTTTTGCCATTTTCATCAGGAAATTTTTGCCCATGCCTATGTCCTGAATAGTATTGCCTAGATTTTCTTCTAGGATTTTTATAGTTTTGGGTTTTACATTTACTTCTTTAATCCATCTTGAGTTAATTTTTGTATAAGGTGTAAGGAAGAGGTCCAGTTTCAATTTTCTGCATATGGCTGGTCAGTTTTCCCAGCACCATTTATTAAATAGGGAATGCTTTCCCCATTGCTTGTTTTTGTCAGATTTGTCAAAGATCAGATGGTTGTAAACGTGCAGTCTTATTTCTGAGTTCTCTATTCTGTTCCATTGGTCTATGTATCTTTTTCATTTTTTTGTAACATTACCATGCTGTTTTGGTTATTGCAGCCTTGTAGTATAGTTTGAAGTCAGGTAGTATGATGTCTCCAGCTTTCTTCTTTTTGCTTAGGATTGTCTTGGCTATTGGGCTCTTTTTTGGTTCCATATGATTTTTTAAATAGTTTTTTCTAATTCTGTGAAGAATGTCAATGGTAGTTTAATGGGAATTGCATTGAATCTATAAATTACTTTGGGCAGTATGTCCATTTTCACAATATTTGTTCTTCCTATCCATGAGCACGGAATGTTTTTTCATTTGTTTGTGTCCTGATTTCCTTGAGCAGTGGTTTGTAGTTCTCTTTAAAGAAGTCCTTTATGTCCCTTGTTAGCTGTATTCCTAGGTATTTTATTCTCTTTGTAGCAATTGTGAATGGGAGTTCATTCATGATTTGGCTCTCTGCTTATCTATTGGTGTATAGAAATGCATGTGACTTTTTCAGATTAAATTTGTATCCTGAAAGCTTGCTAAAGTCACTTAGCAGCTTAAGGAGCTTTTGGGCTGAGATTATGGTGTTTTCTAGATATAGGATCATGCCACCTGCAAACAAAGACAATTTGATTTCCTCTCTTCTTATTTGAATATCCTCTATATTTCTTTCTCTTGCCCGATGTTCTGGTCAGAATTTCCATTACTATGTTTAATAGGCATGAAGAGAGAGGGCATCCTTGTCTTGTGTCAGTTTTCAGGGGGAGTGCTTCCAGCTTTTGCCCATTCAGTATGATAGTGGCTGTGGGTTTGCTGTAAATGGCTGTTAATATTTTGAGGTATGTTCCTTCAATACCTAGTTTATTGAGAGTTTTAACATGAAATGATGCTAAATTTTATTGAAGGACTTTTCTGCATCTATTGAAATAATCATGTGTTTTTTGTCTTTAGTTCTGTTTGATGTGATGAACTTCATTTATTGATTTGCGTATGTTAAACCAGCCTTGCATCCTGGGGATGAAGCAAACTTGATTATGGTGGATAAGCTTTTTTATGTGCTGCTGGATTCAGTTTGCCAGTATCTTATTGAGGATTTTTGCATCAATGCTAATCAGGGATATTGGCCTGAAGTTTTCTTTTTTTTGTTATATCTCTGCCAGGTTTTGGTATCAGGATAATGCTGGCCTCATAAAATGAGTTAGGAAGAGTCCCTCCTTTTCAATTGTTTGGACTAGTTTCAGAAGAAATAGTACCAGCTCCTCTTTGCCCCTCTGGTAGAATTCAGCTGTAAATCCATCTTGGCTTTTTTTGGTTGGTAGGCTATTTATTACTGCTCAATTTCAGAACTCGTTATTGGTCTATTCAGGGATTCAGCTTCTTCCTGGTTCAGTTTGAGGAGGGCATATATGTCCAGGAGTTTATCTGTTTCTTCTAGATTTTCTAGTTTATTTGTGTAGAGTTGTTTATAGTATTCTCTGATGGCAGTTTGTAGTTCTGTGGGGTGATAACCCCTTTATCATTTTTTATTGTGTCTATTTGATTATTCTCTTTTCTTCATTATTAATCTAGTTAGTGGTCTATTTTATTAACTTTTCCAAAAAAAAAAAACCAGCTCCTGATTCATTGATTTTTGTGAAGGATTTTTCGTGTCTCTATCTCCTTCAGTTCTGCTCTGAGCTTGGTTATTTCTTGTCTTCTGCTAGCTTTGGGGTTTGTTTTCTCTTAGTTTTCTAGTTATTTTAGTTGTGATGTTAGGGTATCAATTTGAGATCTTTCTAGCTTTTCAAAGTGGGCACTTAGAGCTATAAATTTCCCTCCTGACACTGCTTTAGCTGCATCCCAGAGGTTCTGGTATGTTGTCTCTTTGTTCTCATTGGTTTCAAAGAACTGCTTGATTTCTGCCTTAATTTCATTATTTACCCAGGAGTCATTCAGGAGCATGTTGTTCACCTTTCTCGTAGTTGTGTGGTTTTGAGTGAGTTTCTTAATCTTGAGTTCTACTTTGATTGCACTGTAGTCTGAAAGACTGTTTGTTATGATTTCACTTATTTTGCATTTGGTGAGGAGTGTTTTACTTGTAATTATATTATTAATTTTAGGGTAAGTGCCAGTGGCACTGAGAAGAATGTATATTCTGTTGTTTTGGGGTGGAAAGTTCTGTAGATATCTATCAGGTCCACTTGATCCAGAGCTGAGTTCAAGCCCTGAATATCTTTGTTAATTTTTTGTCTCGATGATCTGCCTAATATTGACAGTGGGGTGTTAAAGTTTCCACTATTACTGTGTGGGAGTCTAAGTCTCTTTGAAAGTCTCCAAGAACTTCTTTTATGAAACTGTGTGCTCCTGTATTGGGTGCATATATATTTAGGAGAGTTACCTCTTCTTGTTGAATTGAACCCTTACAATTATGTAATGTCCTTCTTTGTCTTTTTTTTTTTATCTTTGTTGGTTTTAAAGTCTGTTTTTCAGTAACCAGGATTGCAACCCCTGCCTTTTTCTGCTTTCCATTTACTTGATAAATTTTCCTCTATCCCTTTATTTTGAGCCTATGTGTGTCTGTGCACAGAGATTGGCCTCTTGAATATAGCACACTGTTGGGTCTTGTCTTTTTATCCAGCTTGCCATTCTGTGTCTTTTAATTAGGGTATTTAGCCCATTTACATTTAAAGTCAATATTGTTATGTGTGAATTTGATCCTGTCATCATGATGCTGGCTGGTTATTTTGCAGGCTTGTTAATATAGTTGCTTCATAGTGTCATTGGTCTCTGTACTCCAGCGTGTTTTTGTAGTGGCTGGTAATGGTTTTTCCTTTTCATATTTAGTGCTTCCTTCAGGGGCTCTTCTAAGGCAGCCCTGGTGGTGACAAATTCCCTCAGCATTTGCTTGTCTGAAAAGGATTTTATTTCTCCTTCATTTATGAAGATTAGTGTGGCCAGATATGAAATTCTGGGTTGGAAACTCTTTTCTTTAAGAATGTTGCATATTGGCCTCCAATCTCTTCAGACTTGTAGGGTTTCTGCTGAGAGGTCTGTTGTTAGTCTGATGGGTGTCCCTTTGTAGGTGACCTGGCCTTTCTCTTTGGCTGCTCTTAACATTTTTTCCTTCATTTTGACCTTGGAGAATTTGATTGTGTGTCTTGGAGTTGATCTTCTCATAGAGTATCTCACCGGGGTTCTTTGGATTTCCTGAATTTGAATGTTGGTCTGTCTTACTAGGTTGGAGATGTTCTCCTGGATGATATTTTGAAGTATGTTTTCCAACTTGCTTCCATTCTCCTCATCTCTTTCAGATGCTCCAATCAGTCATATGTTCGGTCTTTTTACATAATCCCATAGTTCTCAGAAGTTTTGTTCATTCCTTTTCATTCTTTTTTCTCTAACCTTGCCTGCCTGTCTTATTTCAGCAAGATAGTCTTCAGGCTCTGAGATCCTTTCCTCTACTTGGTCTATTTGGCTATTGATACTTGTGGTTAAATTGTGAAGCTCTTGTTTTGTGTTTTTCAGCTCCATCAGGTCATTTATGTTCCTCTCGAAACTGGTTATTCTAGTTAACAGCTCCTGTAATGTTTTATCATGGTTCTTAGCTTCTTTGCATTGGGTTAGAACATATTCCTTTAGCTCAGCAAAGTTCGTTATTACCCACCTTTTGAAGACTACTTCTGTCAATTCATCCATTGCAGTCTCACCCCAGTTCTGTGCCCCCACTGGAGAGGTGCTGCAATCATTTGGAGGAGAAGAGGGACTCTGGCTTTTTGAGTTTTCAGCATATTTGCATTGATTCTTTCAAATCTTCATGGGTTTTTCTACCTTTGATCTTTGAGGCTGCTGACCTTTGGACGGGGTTTTTGTGGGGTCTTTTGTTTAACAGTATGGCCCAACTTCCATAGGGCTGCTGTGGTTTACTGGGGGACCACTCCAGACCCAGTTCACCTGGGTCCCTCCTGCACTTGGAGGTATCACCAGTGGAGGCTGCCAAACAGCAAAGATGGCTGCCTGCTCCTTCCTCTGGAAGCTCCATACCAGAGGGGCACTGAGCTGATGCTGGCCAGAACACTCCTGTAGGAGGTGTCTGGCAACCCCTGTTGGGAGGTCTCACTCAGTCAGGAGGCACAGGATCAGGGAACTGTTTAAAGAACCAGTCTGACTACCCCTTGGCTGAGCAGGTTGGGCTGTGCTGGGGAGAATCCCCCTCATCTGGACTGCCAGCAGGCAGGAAAGACTAGGTGCCCCCAACTGTGAGACTGTGGCCGCTCCTCCCCTCAGGGGCTCCTTCCCAGGGATATCAGAGTTCTGTCTGAAAACCCCTGGCTGGAGATGCTACAATTTCTGCAGGGAGGCCCTGCTCAGTGAGGAGGGATGGATCCAGGTTCCACCTAAAGAAGCAGTCTGGCCACGATCTGCCACAGCCACTGTGATGTGCTGCTATGGGAAATTCCTCTCAGTTCAAACCACCCAGTCTCCCTGACACCAGCAGCGTAAAATGGCCAACTGGAGTTGCAGTGATGGTGACTGGCCACCCCTTCCCCAGGCACTCGGTTGTATTAGGCATTGTCCAGCCTGCTGCTACTGGTTGCAACCCAAGCAGGTGGCACAGCTCTGTGCCTGGAACCAAAGGCCTTGGTGATGTGGGCCCATGAGGGGATCTTCTGATCCACAGGATGCACAGATCCATGGAAAAAGCATGGTTTCCCAGGCGGGGCAGCGCAGTCACTCACCACCTCTCTTGGCTGGGTGTGGGAGTTCCCCTTATCCCATGCAGCTCCCGGATCATTGCTCCACCCTGCTTTTCCTCACTCTGCATGGGTCATACCAACTGCCTATTCAGTCCCAGTGAGAGAACCTGGATACGTCAGTTGATGGAGCAGGATTCACTCACTGTTTTCATTCTTCTCAGTGGGAGCTGCTGACTGGAACTGCTTCTATTTTTTTGGACAGTTTTGCTCTTGTTGCCTAGAATGGAGTCCAATGGCACGATCTTGGCTCACCGCAACCTCCGACCCCTGGGTTCAAGTGATTCTCCTGCCTCAGCCTCCTGAGTAGCTGGGATTACAGTCATGCGCCACCACGCCCAGCTTATTTTGTATTTTTAGTAGAGACGGGGTTTCTCCATGTTGGTCAGGCTGGTCTCAAACTCCTGACCTCAAGTAATCCGCCCATCTTGGCCTCCCAAAGTGCTGGGATTACAGGCATGAGCCACCAGGCCCGGCCTGGAGCTGCTTCTAATCAGCCATCTTGGCTCCTCTCCCTCCATCCCACCCTATTGACTCACAGTGAGCCTGTGTTAATTTAAAATACTGTCTCTTAAAAATCTTGTGCTGCTCTTACACTAATATGTCAGCACTGGTGCTTCTGTGCTTGTGTTTGTTCTTTTTCACCTACCAATGGCAGCACAGATAAAGAGCCAAGTGGGCATGTTTCTTATAGGTAACATACAAGGGCAACAGTGGATTTGGAAACACAGGAATTAAACTTACTGTCTAAAGTTAAGTCATTGTATTGGCAGAAAATTGATCCATCACCTCAAAGACAAGAACTAAATCTTAAGCCAAAATTAACTTAGCTGAAATTATTAAAATATCAAAAGAAAGAATGGCAATCAGTCATGAAGGCATATAAGGGAGTTGGAGAGGCAAACTCTGGCACTTCTTGGCCAAATAAGAAAGTACCTTTCCATGTAGGTCTAGAGATCCTGTCAGCCAACCAGATGGACACATTCATATTGTGATTGTCAGAAACTACAGCCAGTTAGCATTCTGATCAGAGTCTCCTTGGGCTGATTCGATCCTCTACAGCCAACATTATACTAATCAAGACTTATTCAACATTATACTAATCAAGACTTTATATGTGTATAAGAATATTGTCTATATTTGGTCAGCCTGACTGTTACATCTTTCATAATTTCAAAAAACGGGCATCTGGTTTTATATGTGAGATGGTAGTGAGGATTGTCAGTGTAAGTTTGAGTCCCTGAGATATTGACCAGATCATGCAAGACAGTGGGCCATCCCCCTATCTCATGTGGAATAACTGAGAAAATCCCACCCTGTGGGGTTTCTTGGCAGGCAAAAAGCTAGACAGTTCTCCTGGAAACGTTGTGGCATTCTCCCTCTGTCTGGTACTTCCTCCTCAAAGCAATTTTAGGTATGAATGTCAGCCCTGCTGCTTACTAAATGTGGGCAAGTCATTTACACTTTCTGACATCAGTTTCCTCATACTTAAAATGAAGAGAATAACAACTTGACAAGCTTGCTGTAAGGAGTAAAAGAGTTAATAATGTATAAATAGTGCCTCACCTAGAGTGAGCACTGAGTAAATGATGGCTATTACTATTTTTAAAATCAATGTTCTTCCCAGATTCATTATGTAGGACAGGATAAAGCATTAATTCCTACAGCATAGGCAACAATTGGACACATATCTGCTAATCAGTAGTTCTTTAGTCTTTCTGCTAATTACAAATACATTCAACTGTACCACCATCATGACCACATTTTTCAAGTATATCCCATGACATCATAAAATACATCTTCCAAAAAGACAAAAAGCTTTGTTAAACTTTAAATACATTATAAGCTGGGCACAGTGGCATGTGCCTATTGTCCCAGCTACCCAGAAAGCTGAGGCAGGAGGATTGCTTGAGCCCGAGAGTTCAAGACCAGCATGGGCAACATAGTGAGACCACCCCATATCAATAAAAATAATAAATACACGCATACATACATATATACGCTGTAGCCATACAGTTCTCTGGCTTACCACTTTAATAAACTATCTGTATGATTTGTTTTTAACAAACCCCCTATTCCCAGTGATCACTACACCCTGTCTTAATGGTTCACAGGGTATCTTTTCTAACCAATACAAGGACCAGTGTTGAGTTCAGGAGGTGTCTCTTATAAGCTATCCCTTCCTCTAAAGAAATAAGAACTTTTGGCTGTCTTGAATTGTGTGGATACTGTGGTTTGGTTTACTGAACTTCCATCTGACTCTTCTATGTCATACCTTCCTATATTAAAGATAAAACTTCAGAGTTAAGTGTACAATTCCCAGAAGCTTTTGCAGCTAGCACTCTGGATCCAAGTAAGATCCTGCAGATGCACCTATGAGCGATTTGTAATGCAGAAGTGAGGATTATCAGCATCTTCTGACATGTCTTATTTGGGAAGCAAGGTCTTGTGGAGATGTGAGGTTTTCTTCCAAAGCAATAATTCATGTCATTCTCTAGATTCCTGGTTAAGAGGAGGAGTGGAA
Source organism: Homo sapiens (assembly GCF_000001405.40). Taxonomy (NCBI): domain Eukaryota; kingdom Metazoa; phylum Chordata; class Mammalia; order Primates; family Hominidae; genus Homo; species Homo sapiens. The sequence continues at coordinate 86,117,807 of NC_000004.12, forward strand.
GCAGAGTCCCCAATGAACTCCAGGTTCCACTCCCCCGTTCACAGCATAATAGAGTAGCCATGGCAACAGTAAGTGCATAGTTCCAGCTCTATGATTTCCTATCTCAGCTTTGATTGTATGTTCTGGAAATCTGATGGTTCTAGGATACTCTCAGAGGTGGGAGCTCCCTGGTGATTCAGCTCTTGGGTGTCTGGGAGTCATTCAAGGTAGCCCAGAGTACAGCCCACTTCTCCAGGCCTTCCTGTAACTGCAGGCACCCATTTACAGCATTTAATCTCTGCTGCTTAAAATGCTTCTGTCTTCTGCCATGAACCTTGGCTGACACTACAATCTTTCCCATTTTCTGTAATTCCTCAGTGATTACTGGCAGAAGTTTAGCAAATACATCTGCAAATTGGCATCATTGATGCGGTACAGTCACAGATTCATGTCTGAAAGTTTTCTATTACTCTTGAGTCATCTATTTTTCCAAGAATCTTGGCCTGTGGAATCTTACTTTTTTTCTTTCAGTATTTTTTTCTTTCTGCTATCTTTATGCAGGTAAAAATGGAGATAGGTCTTTATGAAGATTTTTCCAACAATTCTCCAGCCACACTGCTGAAGATTTTCCAGCAACTTCTTGGCATACAGTACTAACACACCTCCACTTCTACCAGGTTTATTCCTAAAAGAGTGATAGAGCTTTCTGCTGTTATGCTCCTGTCATTTAATTCAGCTTGATGATGCTATAAAGCTATGTTTACCTCCTTGTATGTATTTATATAAATACACATACACACACACACACACACACACACACACACACACACATCTCTGAAGGCAAATCTTGTTCTCAATATATTTATCAGGTATTTTTTTCTTCTGACAATTGCAGATAACCTCTTACACAAATGTTCTTCTTCCTAAGTCATAATCATTTATTTGACAATTTTTCTTGTTCCTCTTTCCCTTTACATTTAAAATGTTTGTAATCATATTAAATATTTGTGGGGGAAATCCCTAAGCATTACTGGAGCATCTTAAACATCTTAAATCATAGCCTGGCAAACCAAATTCTTTAATAAGAATCATGTTTTTGAACCTGCCAAATTCACTTCTGCCTTAGGATTCTGCAATTGTTCCCCCTAACAGGAATGCTCTTCTTGCATCCTCACTTGGCTAACCCCATTTGTGATTCAGATTTCAGCCCAAATATTATCTCCTCAGAGAGGCTTTTTTTAGTTTTTCTATCAAAAGTCAACAGTTGATTTTTTTGGTTAATTATTTTGTCATTGAATGGTTTGGCTGTACAAGTTTGGTTATATTTGTTGAGAATACTTTCAATTACAAGTAACAGAATTCTGAATAATAATAACTTAAGTAATAAAGATATTCATTATATCATATAACAAAGTATAAAAGTAGGCTTATCAAAGTTTCAGAGATGCACAGTGATTTTTGAGGGCCCTACGCACTTTTGCCTTCGATTTTCTGCAAATTTGTTCTCAGCATGTTGGGAATAAAAAGCCAATAGGGCCGGGCGATGTGGCTCACGCCTGTAATCCCAGCACTTTGGGAGGCCGAGGCGGATCACGAGGTCAGGAGTTTGAGATCAGCCTGGCCAACATGGTGAAACACCGTCTCTACTAAAAATACAAAAATTAGCCAGGCGTGGTAGCACGCACCTGTAATCCCAGCTACTCAGAGGCTGAGGCAGGAGAATTGCTGGAATCCGGCAGGCAGAGGTTGCAGTGAGCCACTGCATTCCAGCCTGGGTGACAGAGCAAGACTCCATCACAAAAAAAAAAAAAAAAAAAAAGCCAATAATAGGAGAACTCTATTAATGTATCCAAGGGCAATGGTGTAGGTGCTGTGATGCAAGAAGATTCCCTGTCAGGAATAAAGGGCTTATTATGTCAGATGCTAGGTGTGCTGCCAGCAGACAGCCTCTCAGCTCTTAGCCCCCTTTGAGGATGACCTCAGCTGACAAAAGCTGCCTAACCTAGCCTACACACTCTTCATAGGTAGCCTTCATTCAATGACTGATGAACATGTGGTTATAAAAGCCTGGCCACTTCACCCCAATTCAGGACAGCTGGTAAGGCTCATTACCTCTTCAGAACTCCCAATAGGGTCAGCAGAGGCTTCTATTGAGATTGTATTGCAGCTGAACTTGTCTCTATTTTCTTTTTCCACAGGTGTTGGCCCCCAAAATACTTCCTAATAAATCTCCTGCATGAAATCACCATCTCAAAGTGTACCTTCTGGAGAATACAGTGTTTGGAAAGCAGTAAGTCATGGCTAAATACAGCAATATGCTCTGGAGTTCACTTGGATACTTCCCTAGGCAAAAGGCAAGTCCAATTATGGATAAACATGGCTAGACTACGAGCTCAACATCAAGAAAAGCCATTTCACCTATGTAACCAACTAACCTAGATGACCAAGCCTAATTATAGAGTTTTCATTCAAAACCACTTTGTGCTTGGTAGACACTAAATTGAAGCAAGGCAGCAAGTGGGTCTCACAGCCAGTCCCTCAAAGACGTATCAAAAGCAGGAACTTCTTAAAACACTAGAAACTGAACTAGTACTTTACAACCCATCAGCAAACTAAAGACGGGGAAGACCACACAAAGATTATTCACCTTAATCAAAAACATGGGACCAGCTCAGCAGCTCATCACCACAGAAAATAGATGAATGGAAAGAAAATGGCTGCTCTAGACACGAGGCAATTTCTGGAAATCAGGATGGTGACATTGGAGAAGAAACTGAAGATTCTTGGAGAAATATTAACTTCATCTCAGTAAAATGGTAGGTGATGGAATGCACACAGACTGTCTCAGTTTCTCTTCTTTGATCTTTGTGACAAATTGTCTCATGCCCATTCTGCTCCTTTACTGACCATTCAATGGACCATTCATATATTTATCTAGTCGATGTTTTAGTCTACAAAATTCACAAAGCTGCCAGGCTGCCAATTGATAGGGTAAGCTGAAAACTTGGGAAATTAGACTGGCCAGCCCTGCTATAAGGCATATAGGGTGTAGTTAGACAGCCTTGCTACACTGATTTTGCCATTTACTGTGTGGTATAAACCAATAATTATTTGGTTTTTAGTGTTTAGTAAATATTTTCTAACTTTGCAATAAAACCCTTCCGACAGAAATAAATAAAATTAAAACTACATATTTAATTAAAGTACTATATACTAAATTTCTATTTCTTATATATTCTTGGTCACAACCAAATGAAAACCAGAAACAGTTCTCCTAAAGGACCATCAGCATCTATTTCAGTTAGTAATTATTGTAAGAAGGCTGTGCCTACATACGATGATTTAACACATGCAGCTATGTCTTAGTCTATTTGGGCTGCTATAACAAAACATCTGAGAATGGGCAGCTTATAAACAGCAGACATCTATTTCTCACAATTCTTGAGTCTGGGAAGTACAAGATCAAGAAACAGCCAGATTTGGTGACTGGTGAGGGCTTGTTCCTCATAGAAGGCACCATCTTGTTGTGTTCTTACATGGCAGAGGGGATAACTAGCTCTTTGGGGTCTCTTTTATAAGGGCACTAATATCATTCATGAGGGCAAATCCTCATGACCTAATCACCTCCCTAAGATGCCACTTTCTAACAATATCACATTGGAGATTAAGTTTCAATATATGAATTTTGGGGAGACACAAAAGATACATTTGCAGATTACTCTGAATCATAACTTTTCATTTAGCTCAAATGACTGTTCTTCTAAATTAATTTTGTTTATTTTCATTTTTGTGAGGATTACAAAATATATTTTTAATTGACAAAAATTGTATATATTTGTGGTATAAACCATCATATTTTGATATATGTATACATTGCAGAACTGCTAATTCAAGCTAATTAACATATATATTACCTCTCATACTCAGATTTTTTTGGGTTGAGAACAAAAATCTCCCTAAGTAATTTGTAAGTATACAATATATTCTTATGAACTCTAGTCATTATGTTGTACAATAGATCTCTTGAACTTATTTCTCCTGTCAAACTGTCTAATTTTGTGTGCTTTGACAAACATCTCTCCAGTCTCCCCCGCTTTTGGCCTCCAGCCACTGGTAACCACCATTCTATTCTCTACTTCTCTAAACTTTATATCTCAACATAAGCTCCATCAAGTTCAAGACACTTTTGTAAGCAACAATCCTGCCATTTAGTTCATCCCTAAAGAACTCAGGGCCTTGGGAATTTAATCATGTTAATACAGTCTTTTTTTTGGGAGGGGCATTATTAACTGAGAAAAATGGGTGGCTTTAAACATTTTCTAAGATTAGAAAATAAAAAAAGTCAGATAGAGCCAAGTGAGGACTGTAAGGTGGATGCCTAAAATTGCCCCTGTTTGCAGAGAGGAATGAGCAGGAGCATTGTCATGGTAGAAAAAGACTTTCTGGTGAAGTTTCCCAGGCATTTATCTGCTAATGCTTTGGCTAACTATCTCAAAACACTCTCATAATAAGCAGATAGTATTATATTTTGGCTCTCCAGAAAGTCAACAAGCAAAATTCCTTGAGTATCCCCAAAAACTGTTGCCATGACATTTGCTTTTGACCAGTTCACTTTTGCTTTAACTGGACCACTTCCACCTCTTGGTAGCCATTGCTGTGACTGTGCTTTGTCTTCAGGATCATATTGGTAAAGCCATGTTTCATCTCCTGTTACAATTCTTTGAAGAAATGCTTCAGGGTCTTGATCCCACTTGTTTAAGATTTCCATTGAAAGCTCTGCTCTCTTTCATCTGCAACTGTTCTGGAAGCAACATTTTTGGCACCCATTGAGTGGAAAGTTTGCTCAACTTTAATTTTTCACTCAGAATTGTGTAAGCTGACACAATTGAGATGTTTATGGTGTTGGCTTTTGTTTCTGTTATTGTCAGTCCTCTTCAATTAGGGAATAAATAAGATAAATTTTTTTCCTTGAAAATTGATGTGGATGGTCTGCCTCTGTGGGCTTCATCTTCAACATTGCTTCATTGTCCATTTGTAAACTCCTGATTTATTTGGAGCATCATCCCCATAACTTTGTAAAGCATCAATGATGTCTTCATTTTTCTACCTAAGTTTTACTATAAATTTGGTGTTTGTTCTTGCTTCAATTTTTGCAGAATTTATGTGGTTCTGATAGGTGCTCTTTTGAAACTGATGTCTTATTCTTTTTAGTGCCTCAAATTAGATCCTGTTCATAGCTGTTATAACAAGGTACTACAAGTTTATTCTGGTGCAAAAAACATGAAATCCATGCATAACTTTTTCATAATACACACTTTCCATAACTTTTTAAAGCCCCCTCGTATAACTGAGGTCATACAGTATTTGTCTTTCCGTGTCTGGTTTATTTTCCTTAACATAAAGTCCTCCAGGTTTATCCATGTTGTCACACATAACAGGGTTTTCTTCTTTTTAAAGTCTGATTATTACCTTATTGTGTATATATGCCATATTTTATTTATTCATTCATCTTCTGATGAACACTTAGATTGATTTCTTTTCTTGGCTATTGTGAATAATGCTGCAATGAATATGGGAGTGCAGCTATCTCTTTGACATACTGATTTCATTTCCTTTGGATTTATACCCAGAAGTAGGATTGCTGGAGCATATGGAAGTTGTAGTTTTAGTTTTTTGAGGAACTGCATACTGTTTTCCATAATGGCCGTATTAATCACGTGAAGATTTTTTCAAGACCTTGCTTACATCAACATTGCTACAACCCCACTGGTCTAAGCAAGTGACATAACCAAGTGTCAGCATGAGAGGGCACTACCGAAAAGCATGGATACAGGAAGACATAAGAGATTGGATTACAATCAATATGCATTCCCTTATTTATCACTATTATTTTCATTTAATTCTGCAAATAAATTACCAGTAAGTTCCATAATGACCTTCTTCCACATGTACTTACTTTTAGGTCATGTCAGTCAGAACAAAACAACCTAAGAATGACAGAAAGCATGCTGTTCATTCTATTCAACTCCCAACTTCTTAAATATATGTACCATAAGTTAAGCAACAGTTGTTAATGTGCTGCCTCTACTAGCAGAAAATAATTTTATAAACATTTAAGTTATGGCTACTTTATTTCATTTTATCATATGCCTCAAACATAAAATTAATATATTTCAATACTAGTTTGATTTTTTAATCCAATTCAATGACTCAAAATAAAGCTATGGAAGGTCATTCTATCAAAGTTTAAAATCTGACAATAGTGTAAAAAGTATAACAATTTTAGTTGAAAATGTTGACATTGAAGATAGGTTACTTATTTTTTCAGTGATAACACACAAAAAATTTTTGCTGAACATAATTACACTAAAAACAGTATTCTTATCACAATAAGAAATGTATGGAGTAGAAATGGACTCTGAATTTGTTGTGGTGCAAATATAATTCACATTGGGTCCAAATAAATTGCAATATTCTACAAATCAAAATAGAAGATAAAGGTGACAAGATTTATAAATATTTTTATAATTAGAATCACTTTATTACAAAATTTTGGAGACAAAGCTGATATTGAATTAAAAAAATGAAAATACTTTAACATAGCAATCGGCATATTTTCTTGGCATTTCTCATACTTACTATTGAAAAATAACTTTTTATACATAAGTCCTCTAAACTTTGGGTGCTTTTTTTTTGCAAATTTACTTGGAAATGTTTAATCATAGTATTTCACAAATGGAGCATCCCAGTATTCAGCTCTTGAAACTTTTAAGGAATAGCTATTATTATTAACAAAACTTGCAACTTGAAGCCCACAAGAATGTGCTGAAATGGACTAAAGCAAGAAATTAACTGAACAAATCAAATGAAATAATGCATTCTCAAAGACAGGATAAGATTTGATTTTGAGATTCCATAATCATACTTTAGAATATCTTAATTTGTGAGAACAGTCTTTAGATAAAGTTCTGAATTGTATGATCTATTTATATTCTATGTGGCACCTGGTGTAATTTCTAATTTCCAAATATTTATATTCTGTGCAGGATTGAAATATGATTTTAAAGGCCTATAATTTTTCTGCATCTAAATTTGGCAAACCATTAAAAAAGCCATAAATTTAGGCAATCTATTTGGCAAGTGTGGTATTATGAAGTTATTTCTTGGATAATGGAACACTAAATGAAGGGGGGGAAAGCTCAGTGTCTGTGAAAAACCTTGGACTCAAATACTTTTACATTACAATGCAAAAATACATTAGAATTAAAAATATTTTCAATTAATAAAAAGAATATTTTCAATTTAGCAAAATTTGTTCTTAGCAGATACCTAAGCCCCTTTTGAGAACATTTTTCAAATAAAAATATTGTTATATATATTAAATGTGTCAATATTTCAAATTTATTAACCATAACAAGCAATTTTGAAGATTCCCAGAAGTTTCATTAAAACTTAAGAATAATAAATTCATATTAAAAAGCTGACTTCAGAAAAATATCAGAAATTTCAGCAGATTAATATACATGAGATGTACCACAGTAATTATTCTTCTCATTAAAAAAAATTAGGCAATTCATATAAGTTATAAAATATTAACTATTTTTATTTTCATTTTCAAAAATGTTTGTTTAAAACAATTTCTAATAACATTATTTTTACGACCATCAATATAATATATTTTAGCATGTACTTTCATTGACAAAATATTCCCTTTTAGATATAAGTGATATGCTCCCCTGCTGCTCAAGGGCACTGTGCTTCTGGTTGAAGAGGCTTTTACATGTCACTCCCCCAAGAAAAAGAGTTAGAACTAAGGACTGCTCTTCCGGGGTTACTGCTACATTCCTACCTTTGGCCATTTCATGGCAATAAAATTTAAAGTATTATTTATGTTTAGTTATTTTATCTTAACAAGATTCTTCTTATAAATCTACATGGCAACTTGGATGAGCATCAGTGTCTGGATGATGTTGGAGTTAGCTAAGGAGTGAAAGAGTTTATTGAGTATATTATGTTAACTTTATTTATGCCAGAAGCCCAACAGTGACACAGTGACTCTCAAAGTAGCCTTGTAGTAAAGAACATGCTATGTATAAAATTAATGACCTAAAGACATTAAGATGGCTCCTTTGGCTCACAGGTTGGTGCTTTCTTGAGACCTGTAAAATTGATGAGATTCATTAAGTGACCCACAGGAATTAGAAATGATTCCTACATGCAGGACATATAATTACGATAGAAATAAACTTCATTGCCCAGCCCATGGGCCTACTTTTCCTTCCTTAAAGCCTACCCCAGCACAGTGTCTCTGACTTTATGATTGTCCTCCACTAGTCTGACAACTGATGCAGCACTGCCAACTATGCATGACTCCTAACATCTCTTGCCTCTGGAAAATATATTTTAGCTATTTTGTAGGCCCCTGGACTTCTTTCCTTTGTTACTGCTCTGTCCCTCTTTGTCTATTCTTTATCTTTTCTTGTTTTACTTCCCATACTCAATCACTATCCAGGCTGACATTTATAAATTGTATTCTACCTTTGCAGCAGTTTATTTGTATCATAATTATGATATACTTGTCATCTATTATGTTTTATCACATTTTTATCTATCCTCAAAGTTGTGCTACTTAATGGCTGAAATCCTGAAGGACTTAGCTCTGTATCCCCTACATGTTTGTTGCATGAAATTATATTCACTAATGCCAAATGTTTATTTCCAAAGCTTTAAATATGTTAGAAAAGGGGCACTGGATAAAATAAAGGACACAAGTTTAAATAATCTAAGCTAGCGTATATTAATTTAATGCTGTGTTACTCAAGATGCCAAGATTTTATCTCTAGCTAAGATATTTTTCCCAAAGGTCCTAACATACTGTATTGTATACAACTGTATAAGTATACATATTTATATATACAACTGAACACCTCTAATTGGATGTCTTAGAAATATCTTAAAATTAGTATGCCCCAAACTGATTTCTCTTTAACCTTAAATCGCCCTCCTCCAATCTATTGTTCAAATACCCATTTGTTCAAGTTGGGAAGTTATTTTTGTTTTCCTCATGTGATTTCCCCATATCCAATCCGTGATTTCCCCATATCCAAGGCCTATTTGTACCTCCAGTGTATATTTTCAAATTGAACCACTTCACTCTAATTCTATTTCCATCACCATGTGTTACACTAGAAACTGCCCCTTATATAGTCTCTGCATTAAACCTCGCTTTCCTCCAATCCATACCTCATCATCCTCATAAAATCTCATCTAAATTAGACTATCCCTGCACATTATTTTGTGTTTGAAAATCCTGCTTGTTGTATTTAAAGCACTGTTATGTCCTAAGTAACACAACATGAATAAAATAACTAATAGAATTCACCTCATAAAGTTGTTAGGAGAATTAAGTTAGCTTAATTAAAAAAAAAAAAAAAAAGCATCCTACTACTTGACTGTAAGCCCCATAAGGGCAGGGACCATATCTGTATTGCTCACTTTTGCATTGAGAGCATAGTACAGTGTCTGGCATATAGTTAGCCTTAAATAAATAATTGTTACACAAGTAAACTAATTGATGATTGATGTACTCCTAACACCAGAGGAGAGTGAATATATAGTCCTTAGATTTCTATGAACATGACTCAAATAGGCTTTAACTAGTTTTCATACTTTAAAATTCTGAAAAAATGTGTATTTTAATTCCATATACATGGAATTAAATATGTATATAATTAGGATATGTTTGTTTTAATATGAAATCTCATTTCCCCATAACACTTCATCTTCTCCTAAAATTTGGATTTCAGGAAGGCTTGCCATGTTTCTCCTGTGGCTTTGACTACTCCTGGCACATTGTACCTGCAACTTCCCTGCCTGGCCCTCACCCTGAGGCACAAAGACTCCAGTTTGAAAAGTGTGAGATTAACAAATAGATTTTGTTCTCTTTACCAAAATTTTATTATATAGCTTATTCTATATAATGACAAGGTAACTGCATTTTCTTCCACCAGTAAATGTTTTCCAAATATCAAATAATTTGCTGCATTCATTTTAGCAGAGATCAACTAAACTTACCCTCACATTGATCACTATCAATGTGAAACTTAGGGAAGCCTACAATGTAAAGACTAGATATAATTGTTGACTCTAGGTTTTAAAAAACTATATGTAGGGATTTTTTATTTTATTGTAGTGTTACTCAAATAATTTTAGGCACTGGGATTAGATTTCTTTCAGTAAGTTTTATTATATATATAGCACAGGCTGTCATTAGCTTAGACTGGAAAAACCATGGGTTTCTAAGTTTTATGCATCCAATAGTCCTATAAGATAGGCACTCTTGTTGTTCAAGTGCCAAAATCAAGACTTAATAATAATGAATAATTTTTTTAGTTATAAGCACTTTTGCTCCCAACTCATTTGTTTCTAAAGTTCTTAATGCTTTACATACATGAGTAACTTGATTCTCACTAAAACCATATGAAGTAAGTATTACTATTGATATGGTTTGGCTGTGTCCCCGCCAAATCTCATCTTGAATTGTAGTTCCCATAATCCCCACGTGTCCTGAGAGGGACCAGATGGAGGTAATTTAATCATGGGCCGGTTTCCCCATCCTGTTCTCATGATAGTGAGTTAGTTCTTATGAGATCTGATGGTTTTATAAGGGGCTTCCCCCTTTGCTGGTCTCTCATTCTTCTCCTTTCTGCCACCATGTGAAGAAGGACGTGTTTGCTTCCCCTTCTGCCATGATTGTAATTTTCCTGAAGGCCTCCCCAGCCATCCTGAGCTGTGAGCCAATTAAATCTCTTTTCTTTATAAGTTACCAAGTCTTGGGTATGACTTTTTTAACAGCATGAGAATGGATTAATACAATTATAATCTTGTTGTAGTCCTTTTTACTATGTTTGCTATTTTTCCATAAGTTTGAAATTATTTAGAAATAAGAAGTAAATTTTTTATTATAAATATATAGGAGCACAACACATATTGGAAAAATTAAGATATAACTGACATCACTTGCTGTGATGCATGACAACTATTAATTTTCCCTTGGTTTTCTAAGGTTATTAGAATTTTCAACATTTTAAACTTTCCTTATTATTAAAGCAAAAACTAAATATTTGCAAGCTATTCCACTAAGACGGCAGTATAATTCTCATTATAATGAATAGTGTAAACAAGAAAATTCCTATATGCCTTTCTGATTCTAATTTTACAGTTAATTTGTTCATTTATTCACTTGGTCAACAAAGAGTTAAATAATATTTATTTAGATAATTGAAAGAGTTGATGATAGAAAAATAATTTCATGTTAATAACTAGAAGTTAGACTTACTTTCTGGACAGATGTTAGCATTAACTTGCTGTATTTTTACAGACATTTGGCAAACCAGTAGAGATAAGGAAACTGAGTCCCATGGTGGTTAAATAATGTGCTCACAAAACAATTAGTTTATGGTAGAATTTTCTCTTATTGAAACTTTACATAAGCATCTTTGTGCTTGTAAAAGAAACAAAAATTGAGCTTCCAGAAAATACTAAAAGCCAAAAGCATATAAAAGTCACAAAATTATTTTTGATAAGACCAATGTGTTTGAGAAACGTAGTAAAACCAGATAAAAGGCTAACAAATTCTGCAATTGTTAGCTGGTTTTTGTTTGTTTTAAATAAACATGAAGATTGTCAAGACAAGGTTTGGTCCATATAGTAGTCTTCTCACATAACCTATTAATATTTCTCTAAGTATTTTAAACCAAGATTGAAGTTGGCACTTTGAGACTACATATTGGGATTTCTTTGCACAATTACCTAAAAAGTATCACACCAATCAAATACGAGTATTGATTTTACTCCTAAATGCACGTCCTGCTCTTGTACTCTCTACCTTTTTCCTGTTGGTTGGTGTCATTAGCAGCCAGTTTACTGACCCCAAATGGATTTCCTGACCAGCTGGTTTTAACAGCCCTCCCCAATGCATCCTGCTTTTGTGGTTTTGTGTGTGCTCAGTTTGGGAACATGAGGCAGCAAACATTAATAAGCTCAAAAATAGAAAAGAGATTTATCTATGCACTCTTTTGTGATGCAGCTTAAGTTTGGAGATAGGTCAGAATCTGCAAGACTCACTTTAAAAATTACAAAAATTCTCTTCTCACCAATATTCTTTCTGGGCTATTGGCAAAAATGAAAACGTGTGTATGAATGTGTGCACATGCGTAGATTCAATGACTGCTGCATATGTGAAACCATTTCAATACTTAAGTTTTGTGTCCTCTGGGATTACAAAAATAATATCTCTTTTTCTTTTGACTAAGTGCTACAGGGAAATGAAATTCTATTGTAGCATTTCTTTTTAATTTGAGCTGATACTCACTTTTGACAATCAAGTTCATTTCAAGTTGTTGTGAGCTATCTCTTCATTTATTCAACAACAATTTACTGATCTTCTGGAATGTCTCCTTTTTTACTTATTGGACATTTTTATTTAGATAATATAAAAAACTTCATATGAGGTTAAATTTAAATGCTAATAAACCATGTCATGTGTTATAGTCCAGCAAAAACTTGCTGATCAAGCAAAGTAGAAGTTTCTTGTACTCAAAGAACTATACCATATTGAGGAATATAAGATAGATTCAAACTAAACAAATAATTAGGTCAAAAGGAGAAAATACTAGATGCTAATGGAAAGGTCTTATTTTAAGGAAATATAGAGAATGACAAAGAGAATAATTGCTAGATAAATGTTCTTGAGGTGACCAAATGAAATGTGGTCTAATCGCAAGAGCAAGATTGGCTTACATACGATAAAATACTTTGTGCATAGCATCAGCAGGGAAAGTAGATTAAAGGGATTCAGATGTTAGTCCATGGTAAATGTGGTGGGAGCCAAGAGCTTATGGATATTCATTTCTGATAGACTTTAGTTTTGCTGTGAAATGGGAAGCAAGATTTTCAGATAAGACACAGGATGGGGAAGAAGATGTTGGGGTTTTGAGGAAGAGGTGAAGGAATGAAATTGTCACTTAGGGCAGTAGGAATGTAAATGGGCTGGAGATCCTGAACAGTGATAAAGGCTCAGTCATTCCTGTTGGTATTAAATTTAGAAGAGACCATACAATCTGAATGTTTTTCTCCAGGCTTGTTCACAGATTCTAGTGCTGAGGAGCTGGACTGAACAAGTATTTTAATTTTGCCAAGAAGAAAGAGGGGAAGATAGTGAAAGCTTATAAATGGGATAGATCATAATATAAGGCACAAGATCTAAGCAGTATAAGGAGGGAAATGAGTACATGAGGGTAGTCAGGGACAGATAAATTATGGCAGATTGTAGGTGGTTGGAGAATTACTGAAAATAAGTGCTAGTATCAAATCAAATGTTTCACTTTTTCTAGAAACAAAAAATTTCAAGGAATTGAGATGGTTAACTTACTTTCATTTTGATAGATGAAAAACACGCACAAACAAGACCTAGTGGGTGTTTTTGCCTGTTTTGTTTTTATTATCTAGCTAACAGGCATACAGACAGTTTAAGTGTTTAAGAGGAGTAGAGAAAATAATAAACATGAAGAATTATTACTGCAGAATGTGGGATTGAACTTGAGGATTTAATAAAACCCAAACTGTATTTCGAGATTAATCTATCAGTTCTGAAAAGCACAGTTAGGAATGGACCTACTTAGCTAGGGATTTATCCTAGCATCTGGACTAATTGCTGTACTTTTACAACAAGAATTATAATTCTCCCCCAGTTTTTATCATAGACTATAGCTTTATTACAGTTTCAAGGTAGAAAATAAAAAGAAAAAAAGAGGCTTCACAACTCTATGATTGAATTACTGGCAGCATGTTGTGCCAAGAATGCAATTAGTCAATTGTTTCAGCATAAATCCTGTTTGTAGGCCAGTAAGTAATGTAAAATGTTAACATTAAAAAGTGTTCTTCTTTACACTAAATATTTTAAAATAATGTTATTTACGAGACGATGCAAATAGCATTTTATATGGATGAGCTAACATGGACTATCAAAATGCTACATTTACATTATGAAATAGGACTCTGAAACACTGAGAAAACACAGCCAAAATGCTTGATAAAAGCCACGAAATAAATTGAAATGTACCAGATCAGAAAAGATTATCAAATATGAACCTAAAGGAATACAAAACTGGAACTTAACTCCAAGGGTTATCTCATCTCCTTTCTGCTTCTAGTCAGTAGACGATACACTGCTGGTCCTAGTCCATAAAGTCTAAATGAGTTAATAAAGATCTCAATGAGTTAATAACTTACTTATTTAACTATTCATACATATATGAAACTTGGATATAATTCTTAGTTCATAAAGGTCTCAATGAGTTAATAACCTAGTTCATAAAGGTCTCGATGAGTTAATAACCTAATTATTTAATCATTGATACATGTATGAAACTTGGATATAAATCTTCTGTAACTTTATTACTGATGTATGTTGAGTTAAAATATTGAGTAGTAGAGTAGTTATTCCTCTAATGATTTTATGTTGCCCTTTATCGACTGTTGAAAAGAAAACTCAAACTGAACACATTTTTTTGTATTGGGAAATGCATATAACCAAATATATTTACCTTATTGAGGAATAACAGGTCATGTGCCTTTGAAACTATACATTGACTATGTTAGTCATAAAAATGCATTTTTAAGGCTAAGTCCAACTGATTTTTGTCATGAAGTCAACAAAAATTTACCTCTAATATTTTCTGATCTTAAGTTCTATTCCAATTCCTTTAACTTATAAATAATATAAGACAAGGGTCCCCAACCGGGCCACACAGTAGGAGGTGAGCTGTGGGTGAGCAAGCAAAGCTTCAACTGTATTTACAGCCACTCACCATGACTCACATTACAACCTGAGCTCTGTCCCCTGTGAAATCATCGTCAGCATTAGATTCTCATAGGAGCGTGCACCCTATTGTGAACTGCGCATATGAGGGATCTAGGTTGAACACTCCTTGTGAGGATCTAATATCTGATGATCTGTCACTGTCTCCTATAACCTCAGATGGGACCATCTAGCTGCAGGAAAACAAGTTCAGGGCTCCCACTGATTCTACATTATGATGAGTTGTATTATTATGTCATTATATATTACAATGTAATAATGATAGAAATAAAGTGCACAATAAATGTAATGTGCTTGAATCATCCCCAAACCACCCCTCAAGCCCCAGGCCCATGGAAAAACTGTCTTCCACGAAATCGGTCCCTGGTGCCAAAAAGGTTGGAGACCACTCAAATTTGACAATTCTAAACATGTATATGACATTATCAGTAATGAATTGTGAAGCTGAAAAAAATATTTTCCAAACTATCAATAACAAAAGATATGTTTAAACTGATCATAGTATGGAAGATACTGAATTTCTGTTTTCTCTACAGATAATGATATTACAAAATCATCTTCATGTGGAGACATATTAAAAGAGTATGCAGCCAAAAGTATATAGTAAAAAGGGTATTATATCAGAGAGCTGAAAAATAAAGTATTATCTTTTTAGATTTTATGATTCTGTGGTATTTATCAGCTTTTTTACAATTTGTGATTTGTTGTAATGTATTTATTCTAAGTAAATAATTCACTTTCATTCTTAATTTTGTATTTGTGATTTTTCTTAAAGAGGGAGCTCCAAAATTTTATAAGCTTAATGTGCAATCATAATACAAATTTTCCTGTCTGCAACATAAAAATTTTTAATGCCTACAGCCAAAACAGTTTACAGGGTATGACCAAGAGCTAGAACTAAACTACTTGACCTTTCTCAAATAAATGTGTCTACAGTTTTATGTTTAGAAGAGAATTTGAACTCTAAAAAACTCTTTTTGTGGGTATTAACACGTATGAATCTATCACACTTAGCCAGAACTTTTGGCTCAGATTTTGGGTGTTGAGCCAGACATCTTGCTGGTGGCTCCAACTGAGATTAAGTCAGTCCTTACTGACCATGTGGTAAATAAGTTGAGGAGATAACCCATTCCAAATCTGAACATCAAAGTACCTCAGACACATCGTGGCTAGAGATTCTTTGCTTAAAAGCATTGGTAGTCCATAAATAATGATTCTCGGGTAACAAAAAAATATGTAATCTTAGAATGGGATGAAAATTTAAGATTTCATTTAATCCAACATTCTACCAAATGAAGAAATTCTATGTAAAGTACAATATTCCTAAGAAATGTTCATCTGGCCATCTTTTGCATGCAAACTATCAGTCACCAACTGCTTACACCTTCACAAGGAAGCCAACCCATGATGAATAGCTTTCACTCTGATAAAATTATTTTCTTACATTGAGCCAAAATCTAAGTCCTATTAATTCTGTGAATGTGCTCTGGAGTCAAGCTGAGTAAGTCTACACATTTATTGACACTTGTGACTTCAAATATTTGAAGATATCTTTCATCTCCCTGAAGAGCCAATCTCTCTACAAATTAAGTATCTGTAGCTCTAATTTCATTAACCATTCCCTTCCTATGTATATTTTCAAGGAAACTAGAAGTGTGATAACTACATTATATATTTATAGACCACTAATCTAGCCAGCCAGACAAATTGAAAATTTCTCTGAAAAATTGAAAATATCTAACTCAAACTCCATTAATAGCAATTAATAATCAGATTTTGCAAAACTGCATTAAAGTCTCCACCCCTGCCCTCTATTTCATTATCATATTGCCACACACCACACATACTTTTTCCAGTTTGTTACTTGTATTTGATGTGTAAGCTGATAACAACATTCAGTTATTTCAAAATTTCCAAATCATAAGAAGTTAGGAAAATGAAAAAATATTACTTTTAGTGGTAATAATTACATATTATCTTTGTCATTCAAATTAAAGTAAAATTGGGGGGAGGAGCCAAGATGGCCGAATAGGAACAGCTCCAGTCTACAGCTCCCAGCGTGAGCGACACAGAAGACAGTGATTTCTGCATTTCCATCTGAGGTACCAGGTTCATCTCACTAGGGAGTGCCAAGACGGTGGGCGCAGGTCAGTGGGTGCACGCACCATGCACGAGCCGAAGCAGGGCGAGGCATTGCCTCACTCGGGAAGTGCAAGGGGTCAGGGAGTTCCCTTTCCTAGTCAAAGAAAGGGGTGACGGATGGCACCTGGAAAATCGGGTCACTCCCACCTGAATACTGCGCTTTTCCGACGGGCTTAAAAAACGGCGCACCACGAGATTATATCCCGCACGTGGCTCGGAGGGTCCTATGCCCAAGGAGTCTTGCTGATTCCTAGCACAGCAGTCTGAGATCAAACTGCAAGGCAGCAGCGAGGCTGGGGGAGGGGCGCCCGCCATTGCCCAGGCTTGCTTAGGTAAACAAAGCACCCTAGAAGCTCCAACTGGGTGGAGCCCACCACAGCTCAAGGAGGCCTGCCTGCCTCTGGAGGCTCCACCTCTGGGGGCAGGGCACAGACAAACAAAAAGCCAGCAGTAACCTCTGCAGACTTAAATGTCCCTGTCTGACAGCTTTGAAGAGAGCAGTGGATCTCCCAGCATACAGCTGGAGATCTGAGAAGGGGCAGACTGCCTCCTCAAGTGGGTCCCTGACCCCTGACCCCCGAGCAGCCTAACTGGGAGGCACCGCCCCAGCAGGGGCACACTGAAACCTCACACGGCAGGGTACTCCAACAGACCTTCAGCTGAGGGTCCTGTCTGTTAGAAGGAAAACTAACAAACAGAAAGGACATCCACACCAAAAACCCATCTGTACATCACCATCATCAAAGACCAAAAGTAGATAAAACCACAAAGATGGGGAAAAAACAGAACAGAAAAACCGGAAACTCTAAAAAGCAGAGCGCCTCTCCTCCTCCAAAGGAACTCAGTTCCTCACCAGCAACGGAACAAAGCTGGATGGAGAATGACTTTGACGAGCTGAGAGAAGAAGGCTTCAGACGATCAAATTACTGAGCTATGGGAGGACATTCAAACAAAAGGCAAAGAAGTTGAAAACTTTGAAAAAAATTTAGAAGAATGTATAACTAGAATAACTAATACAGAGAAGTGCTTAAAGGAGCTGATGGAGCTGAAAACCAAGGCTCGAGAACTACATGAAGAATGCAGAAGCCTCAGGAGCCGATACGATCAACTGGAAGAAAGGGTATCAGCAATGGAAGATGAAATGAATGAAATGAAGCAAGAAGGGAAGTTTAGAGAAAAAAGAATAAAAAGAAATGAACAAAGCTTCCAAGAAATATGGGACTATGTGAAAAGACCAAATCTACGTCTGATTGGTGTACCTGAAAGTGATGGGGAGAATGGAACCAAGGTGGAAAACACTCTGCAGGATATTATCCAGGAGAACTTCCCCAGTCTAGCAAGGCAGGCCAACGTTCACATTCAGGAAACACAGAGAATGCCACAAAGATACTCCTCGAGAAGAGCAACTCCAAAACACATAATTGTCAGATTCACCAAAGTTGAAATAAAGGAAAAAATGTTAAGGGCAGCCAGAGAGAAAGGTCGGGTTACCCACAAAGGGAAGCCCATCAGACTAACAGTGGATCTCTCAGCAGAAACCCTACAAGCCAGAAGAGAGTGGGGGCCAATATTCAACATTCTTAAAGAAAAGAATTTTCAACCCAGAACTTCATATCCAGCCAAACTAAGCTTCATAAGTGAAGGAGAAATAAAATACTTTACAGACAAGCAAATGCTGAGAGATTTTGTCCCACCAGGCCTGCCCTAAAAGAGCTCCTGAAGGAAGCGCTAAACATGGAAAGGAACAACCAGTACCAGCCACTGCAAAATCATGCCAAAATGTAAAGACCACCGAGACTAGGAAGAAACTGCATCAACTAACGAGCAAAATCACCAGCTAACATCATAATGACAGGATCAAATTCACACATAACAATATTAACTTTAAATGTAAATGGACTAGATGCTCCAATTAAAAGACACAGACTGGCAAATTGGATAAAGAGTCAAGACCCAACAGTGTGCTGTATTCAGGAAACCCATCTCACGTGCAGAGACACACATAGGCTCAAAATAAAAGGATGGAGGAAGATCTACCAAGCCAATGGAAAACAAAAAAAGGCAGGGGTTGTAATCCTAGTCTCTGATAAAACAGATTTTAAACCAACAAAGATGAAAAGAGACAAAGAAGGCCATTACATAATGGTAAAGTGATCAATTCAACAAGAAGAGCTAACTATCCTAAATATATATGCACCCAATACAGGAGCACCCAGATTCATAAAGCAAGTCCTGAGTGACCTACAAAGAGACTTAGACTCCCACACATTAATAATGGGAGACTTTAACACCCCACTGTCAACATTAGACAGATCAACGAGACAGAAGGTC
Organism: Homo sapiens; assembly: GCF_000001405.40. Taxonomy (NCBI): domain Eukaryota; kingdom Metazoa; phylum Chordata; class Mammalia; order Primates; family Hominidae; genus Homo; species Homo sapiens. The sequence continues at coordinate 86,137,140 of NC_000004.12, forward strand.
AACAAGGATACCCAGGAATTGAACTCAGCTCTGCACCAAGCGGACCTAATAGACATCTACAGAACTCACCACCCCTAATCAACAGAATATACATTTTTTCAGCACCACACCACACCTACTCCAAAATTGACCATATACTTGGAAGTAAAGCTGTCCTCAGCAAATGTAAAAGAACAGAAATTATAACAAACTATCTCTCAGACCACAGTGCAATCAAACTAGAACTCAGGATTAAGAATCTCACTCAAAACCACTCAACTACATGGAAACTGAACAACCTGCTCCTGAATGACTACTGGGTACATAACGAAATGAAGGCAGAAATAAAGATGTTCTTTGAAACCAACGAGAACAAAGACACAACATACCAGAATCTCTGGGATGCATTCAAAGCAGTGTGTAGAGGGAAATTTATAGCACTAAATGCCCACAAGAGAAAGCAGGAAAGATCCAAAATTGACACCCTAACATCACAATTAAAACAACTAGAAAAGCAAGAGCAAACACATTCAAAAGCTAGCAGAAGGCAAGAAATAACTAAAATCAGAGCAGAACTGAAGGAAATAGAGACACAAAAAACCCTTCAAAAAATTAATGAATCCAGGAGCTGGTTTTTTGAAAGGATCAACAAAATTGATAGACCGCTAGCAAGACTAATAAAGAAAAAAAGAGAGAAGAACCAAATAGACACAATAAAAAATGATAAAGGGGATATCACCACCGATCCCACAGAAATACAAACTACCGTCAGAGAATACTACAAACACCTCTACGCAAATAAACTAGAAAATCTAGAAGAAATGGATAAATTCCTCGACACATACACTCTCCCAAGACTAAACCAGGAAGAAGTTGAATCTCTGAATAGACCAATAACAGGAGCTGAAATTGTGGCAATAATCAATAGTTTACCAACCAAAAAGAGTCAAGGACCAGATGGATTCACAGCCGAATTCTACCAGAGGTACAAGGAGGAACTGGTACCATTCCTTCTGAAACTATTCCAATCAATAGAAAAAGAGGGAATCCTCCCTAACTCATTTTATGAGGCCAGCATCATTCTGATACCAAAGCCGGGCAGAGACACAACCAAAAAAGAGAATTTTAGACCAATATCCTTGATGAACATTGATGCAAAAATCCTCAATAAAATACTGGCAAACCGAATCCAGCAGCACATCAAAAAGCTTATCCACCATGATCAAGTGGGCTTCATCCCTGGGATGCAAGGCTGGTTCAATATACGCAAATCAATAAATGTAATCCAGCATATAAACAGAGCCAAAGACAAAAACCACATGATTATCTCAATAGATGCAGGAAAAGCCTTTGACAAAATTCAACAACCCTTCATGCTAAAAACTCTCAATAAATTAGGTATTGATGGGACGTATTTCAAAATAATAAGAGCTATCTATGACAAACCCACAGCCAATATCATACTGAATGGGCAAAAACTGGAAGCATTCCCTTTGAAAACTGGCACAAGACAGGGATGCCCTCTCTCACCACTCCTATTCAACATAGTGTTGGAAGTTCTGGCCAGGGCAATTAGGCAGGAGAAGGAAATAAACGGTATTCAATTAGGAACAGAGGAAGTCAAATTGTCCCTGTTTGCAGATGACATGACTGTATATCTAGAAAACCCCATTGTCTTAGCCCAGAATCTCCTTAAGCTGATAAGCAACTTCAGCAAAGTCTCAGGATACAAAACCAATGTGCAAAAATCACAAGCATTCTTATACACCAACAACAGACAAACAGCCAAATAATGAGTGAACTCCCATTCACAATTGCTTCAAAGAGAATAAAATACCTAGGAATCCAATTTACAAGGGATGTGAAGGACCTCTTCAAGGAGAACTACAAACCACTGCTCAAAGAAATAAAAGAGGATACAAACAAATGGAAGAACATTCCATGCTCATGGGTAGGAAGAATCAATATCGTGAAAATGGCCATACTGCCCAAGGTAATTTACAGATTCAATGCCATCCCCATCAAGCTACCAATGACTTTCTTCACAGAATTGGAAAAAACTACTTTAAAGTTCATATGGAACCAAAAAAGAGCCCGCATCGCCAAGTCAATCCTAAGCCAAAAGAACAAAGCTGGAGGCATCACACTACCTAACTTCAAACTATACTACAAGGCTACAGTAACCAAAACAGCATGTTACTGGTACCAAAACAGAGATGTAGATCAATGGAACAGAACAGAGCCCTCAGAAATAACGCCGCATATCTACAACTATCTGATCTTTGACAAACCTGAGAAAAACAAGCAATGGGGAAAGGATTCCCTATTTAATAAATGGTGCTGGGAAAACTGGCTAGCCATATGTAGAAAGCTGAAACTGGATCCCTTCCTTACACCTTATACAAAAGTCAATTCAAGATGGATTAAAGACTTAAACGTTAGACCTAAAACCATAAAAACCCTAGAAGAAAACCAAGGCATTACCATTCAGGACATAGGCATGGGCAAGGATTTCATGTCTAAAACATCAAAAGCAATGGCAACAAAAGACAAAATTGACAAATGGGATCTAATTAAACTAAAGAGCTTCTGCACAGCAAAAGAAACTACCATCAGAGTAGCAGGCAACATACAAAATGGGAGAAAATTTTCTCAACCTACTCATCTGACAAAGGGCTAATATCCAGAATCTACAATGAACTCAAACAAATTTACAAGAAAAAAACAAACAACCCCATCAAAAAGTGGGCGAAGGACATGAACAGACACTTCTCAAAAGAAGACATTTATGCAGCCAAAAGACACATGAAAAAATGCTCATCATCACTGGCCATCAGAGAAATGCAAATCAAAACCACAATGAGATACCATCTCACACCAGTTAGAATGGCAATCATTAAAAAGTCAGGAAACAACAGGTGCTGGAGAGGATGTGGAGAAATAGGAACACTTTTACACTGTTGGTGGGACTGTAAAGTAGTTCAGCCATTGTGGAAGTCAGTGTGGCGACTCCTCAGGGATCTAGAACTAGAAATACCATTTGACACAGCCATCCCATTACTGGGTATATGCCCAAAGGACTATAAATCATGCTGCTATAAAGACACATGCACACGTATGTTTATTGCGGCACTATTCACAATAGCAAAGACTTGGAACCAACCCAAATGTCCAACAATGATAGACTGGATTAAGAAAATGTGGCACATATACACCATGGAATACTATGCAGCCATAAAAAATGATGAGTTCATGTCCTTTGTAGGGACATGGATGAAATTGGAAATCATCATTCACAGTAAACTATTGCGAGGACAAAAAACCAAACACCGCATGTTCTCACTCATGGGTGGGAATTGAACAATGAGAACACATGGACACAGGAAGGGGAACATCACACTCTGGGGACTATTGTGGGGTGGGGGGAGGGGGGAGGGATAGCACTGGGAGATATACCCAATGCTAGATGACGAGTTAGTGGGTGCAGCACACCAGCATGGCACATGTATACATATGTAACTAACCTGCACAATGTGCACATGTACCCTAAAACTTAAAGTATAATAATAAAAAAAAAAATTAAAGGAAATTTATGTATGCATTCTGATTTCAACCAGCTACAAATTACACATACATGTGTATGCACAGGCAGGTGTGCACAAATACACACACACACACGCATGCACGCATAACTATTGGCTGCTAGAGACTTAGTAATTACTTCCCAGGCTCCCAAGTTCAGTTTCTTACTAGATGCACAATAAATACTTTGCAAAGTGTCAAAAGCACTGTGTTTGTCAACAGCAATTTTCAAAAAGGAAGGAAACATAAATTATGCATTTCTCTAAATAGCAAATAATCTACATATCCAGACTGAATTTTTAGCTAGAAAGACCATTAATCATTGAACCAATACCCAATACCCTCATTTTATTTAGACATGAGGAAATTAAGGCCTAAAAATACAATTAACTTGTTCAAAGTCATTCAGCTTATTTGTGACTTAGGTTTTAAAAGGCCTTGTACCATGTTCTAAAGAGTTCACCCACACCACAACATACAAGTCAAGCTCAGAATGATTCATTACCTTACAGAAAGGATATAGTTTACAAAAACATGACACTGGTATCTTACAAAAAATATTAAAATGATAGTCCTATGGTGAACATGAGATAGTTAACTGCTGAACAAGGCACAAAGAGCTACAGCAAATGCCTCAAATCTAGTGACCCAAGATAACCCCCTGAGCTTTTTTAACCTGAGGAAATTGTGTCATGAAGTCCACATCTTTATTCAGTGTGGGGGAGTATTCTGTCTTCAGTTTCTACACCACTGGTAGCTTACTCTTTCTAGCCAGAAGAAGTTTAAGACACCATTCTCTTATTATAGCAAAGACTATCAGTTATAGAATGCAAGAAAAAGAAATTAACATTGCGCTATAGCATCTTAAAACAGAAAGAAAAGCCATTCCTGGGGTAATAATAATATAGGCCTGGATATTTTACAGAGTCTATGGGAGAAAAAGCTCTGTAGAATTTATTGATAGAGAATACACTTTTAAAAATACACATTGAGCAAATGTATAGGCTAAATCTAAAATGTAGCCTATAAGTTTCTTTATGTGCTAAAGGCTAGAATTTTACATTACTAATATGTATGACAGTCCTATCTTAGTCCATTTTGTGTTGCTATAATAGAACACCTGAGACTGGGTAATTGAAAAGAAGTTTATTTAGCTCATGGTTCTGCAGGCTGAGAAGTTCCAGGGCATGGCCCTGGCTTGTGGCAAGGGCTTTTGTGCTGTGTCACAACATGGCAGAGACCATCAAAGGGAAAGTGAACATGTGCAAAGAGGAGGAAAACTGAGGGGCATCCTGGCTTTAAAACGACCCACTTTCTTGGGAACTGATCTATTCCTGCAAGAATTAATCCAATCTCTCAAGAGCAAAAATTCACTCACTACTGTAAGAACTGCACCAAGAAGTTAATGAGGGATCCACCGCCAAACCTAAACACTTCCCACTAGGCCCCACATCCCAACAACCACACACCAGGGATCAAATTTCAACATGAGTTTTGGTGGGAAAAACAAAACATATTCAAACCACAGCAAGTACCTACCTCAGAGAGGTATGCTAATGTTTATGCATCGGTAGGGTTTGCTAAACGAAGAAAACTGGAGCTGCGTTAATGGACAAGCCTTGGAAGTTAAAGAATGAATAAAGAGAGACTGCCAGAGAGACACATGTTTATATTTCAAAGCAGGTGAAACCCAGAGCTATCCATTTACATTCTAGAGGATTCATTCATCATTCATTCATTCATTCAATGAAGGTTTTTTTTTCCAGTATCTCTTATGTTCAAGACACTGTGATAGGTCTTGGGAAAACAGGGTGAGGGAGACAAACAGGGTGATTGCATCATTCTAGCAAGACACTAGTTATTTCATTTGTCATATAAATTATGTTAGATTGTTTTATTTCTTGAGAAGCTATTGGCTCTAATCCATATAATGCAGCTGGCTGGGACACAATTTAGAAGGATCAAGAAGTAAAACCCACACTGATTTGAAGCAAAGCCCATACATCAAAGTCAGATGAACAAGGAGAGGGACTGGATATCAGTTACCAGATCCAGAAATGGAAGATTTGCTATTTCAGAGTCTAATGGTCTCCCAAGATCCATTCCCTCCCTCCTCATGGTTATAAGAACTTCCCTAGTTTTACACAGACACATGGCATTCAGCTAACTATATATTTCCAGCTTTCCTTACAGCTAGATTAGGTTCAAGACAATGGGTGAGGGCAGAAGAGAAATATTCAACTTCTAGGTCATATCTGTATTAGTCCATTCTCATGCTGCTATGAGGAAATACCTGATACTGGGTAATTTATAAAGGAAAGAGGTTTAATTGACTCGCAGTTCCACATTGTTGGGGAGGTCTCAGGAAACTTACAATCATGGCAGAAGGCAAAGGAGAAGCAGGCACATTCTTCATAGGGTGGCAGGACGGAGTGAGTGCAAGCAGAAGAAATGCCAGATGCTTGTAAAACCACCAGATCTCCTGAGACTTAATCACTATCACAAGAACAGCACGGGGGAAAATGTCCCCATGATCCAATGACCTCCATCTGGTCCCACCCTTGACATGTGGGGATTATGGGGATTATAATTCAAGATGAGATTTTGGGTGGAGACACAGCTAAACCATATCAATATCCTTATAGAAAGACAGCTTGCTCTCCACTTGCTTTTTTTCTCTTTCCATAAACTGGAATGTGACCCTAGTGGCTTTGGTCACATGGACAGAACAACACTGTCAGGATTCCTGTGTTTCTGTGAAACAGAATTGTCCTATTCCCTGGAACTATGCAGGAACTCAGACTTCAGTGGAAGAGAGAAGTGTTCAAGTCACTGTACTATGTGTCTCTTTGTTAGAATATTTCAGAGTATATTGTAATATAGATACCCACAACCAGATTCTATTTACTAGACCAAAACTTGGAAAGAGAGTGAGGACCATGTCTTCTTTTGCTCATGACAGTAGCTCAAGCATACAACACAGTATCTGGAACATATTAAGTGCTTCATTAAAATGTATTAAATGGAATGGAATATAATGAAATAGATGTGATTCCCAACCTCAAGGAAATCATTGCATATGAGGAAATACACATGAAATAAAGAATGACTTTCTTTTACAACATCTTATTAATACACATTCTTTCAATTCTCCAGACATATATTTTATGAGAAAAAAAATCTCACATGGGCAAAAGCTAAAATTCCTCTGGCATGCTTTTTGATAACCAAGTAGAATAGTTATCAGATCCTAAGCTTATTAGAGAATAAGGGTGAAAACAGCATAGTTTCAATTAATCATACTAAATTGCTAAATATTTTTTGAATGCATACAAGAGGAGTTAGCAGTATTCTTGTGAGAAGGTGCCAAATTACTGGTATCTTTTTTGGGGGGTGTGTTTAAGGGGGTAATTTTGATTTCTGCACACTTAACACATATGTGTATATAGCCACAGCACATGCACTTATAAATTGATTTAAGTAAAACATTAAAAGATCTTGTGTTCCAGTTAAGTAGGGGTTGTTAAAAACAATTGTTTTTATAATACAGTTATTTTAAAGTATTTTTAAATAGAAATTTTACAAGATTATTTGAATCCAGAAATATTACTTTATAAGACTGGAATTTTACATTATTAATGTAAATAATAATACCTACATCATAGAGATATTTTAATATTTCTGCATTGTCAGGGCTCTTTGAGCAGATAAAGCAAGAATCTGGTTAAAGGACAAGTCTTGGAAGTTAAAGAGTATAGAAGAACCTCTAGAGAAAAAATTGTTTTCATTTCAAAGTGGGTGAATCCCAGAGCATACATTTACATTCCAAATGATTGTAAAATAGGGACTTTCTCTTTCTCCTGCCAGAGAATACTTACTTTAGGAAAATTAGATCTCTCTCCCTCTCTTTCCTTCTCTCTCTCTTCTTAGCAAGGTGGCAGCTGTATAGCAGGCCTTATATAAACTCTGAGATTCATAATTTCTTATTGATAATGCAAAAATCCCTTTGCATGTGTAGGATAACATCTGTCTTTTATAATATTGCACTGAATGGAGTGAAGGAGACATGGGTAACTGATATAATTATTGCCTTGAGTAATAATACTCTGCCACTGATCCAGAAACTCCATGTTTGCTTTCAGGACAAAAATAAAGGAATACAAATGTTAAAAACTTACAGTGAGCTGCTAAATAAGTACAACTCTATGAACACAATTGGATAAATTTGCACACTATGGACACAGTAGCTAAGTCTAAGTTTCTATTCCCTACCCGGTAATATGTTTACCAAAAAAAACCCAAAAAAACAAAAAAGATATCAATGATAAAGCACTTCTACCAATTAGTTTTATCCTCCTTAAAATACAACGAAGCAGAAAAGTGGCAATTTTACAAAAATTACTCTGGGTCCAGTGATCTTTTCTAGTATTTTTTTCTACTTTTCCTTTCAATTGCTTTTTCCTATGTAGCACAAGGGTCAAAAGATTTCTTGGTCCATTCAAATTTCTATCTCTAGCCGGGCGTGGTGGCGCGCGCCTGTAGTCCCAGCTACACGGGAGGCTGAGGCAGGAGAATGGCGTGAACCCGGGAGGCGGAGCTTGCAGTGAGCCGAGATCGCGCCACTGCACTCCAGCCTGGGCTACAGAGCGAGACACCGTCTCAAAAAAAAAAAAAAAAAAAAAAAATTTCTATCTCTATTTGATGATTTTAGAAAATTAGTGATGAAATATTATACAGCATACCAAACATGTGTTATTGTAAGCAAAAATAGTATTTCTCAATGTTTCTGTTTCACAAAGAATTACTGCTTCTTTTCAAAGCTACTTCTATATGTACCATCCTGCTTCCTCCGAAATTGTTCTCTAACAATTATTTTTGGTTTCTTGAGTCTCTCCATTTCTCTCTGGGAATCTCTCAGCTGCCTGCTTGATGTTCCTACATCTCTCTGTCTGTGTGTTCTCTCTTCCTCTTCCTCATTGTGTATCTGTCATCTATTTCTCTCTTTCTTGCTATTTCTGTGTATCTTTCTTCTTCTGTCTCTCTGTCTCATTCTCCTCTTTTACTCTGTCTCAGAGCCTCTCTCTCTTTCTGTTTTTCTTTCCACATGCCTTACCTGTAACATCCAGCATTTCCTCTCTAATAGAGTAAACACACTCTCCTGCCATTAAAAAAAAATGTAGACCTTCTTTACCTTTGAGGTTGCAAGCTATTAACACCCAAGAGCTCTTCTTTGCACCACCAATTTCACAGAAAAGGAGTCCGTCTAAGAACTGGGAAAATACAGTTGAAAAACTAAGAAGTAAACCTTGAAGAGGACAGTACCAAAGTGCCAAATCAAATAAGATGGAGACCAGAGACTACTTGCTGCATTTAGCATTTTGGTTGGTTTACTGGTAATTTAGCAAGAGCAGTTTCAACAGAGTAGAGTGCATAGAAATGGATTCCAGTGAGCTGAGAGTGAATAACAGATGTAGAAAGGAAAATCAGAACTTTAACTCCAATATTTGTTAAGTGCCTACTCTGCAAGGAACTATGTTAGAGTTAGAAATTCAACTGAAGGCAAGCCTGACAGTCTTCCTTATGGAGCTTACAGTCTAGTGGGAAATGGACAATGTAAGGAGACAATGTAAAAATAATGTGATGATGCTAATAATCCTGTGAAAATACAAGGTTATGTAGAAGCTGGTCAGAGGGGTACTGGCACTGGATTTAGGAGGATGATAGACATTTTAGAGAGGGCAAAGACTGCAAAATCCTAGTCTTTTTCCTTTTCTTGGGCACACAGCTCAACTAGATGACATTTCCAGCCTCCTGTGCAGTTAGGTTATAGCCATTTAACAGAGTTCTAGCAGGTGGAATGTGAGCAAAAGGGAAACGCACCACTTCCAGGCCTGGCCCACAGAAGTAGCTCCATGCTTTTGGCTGTTTGGAGCCCTTACACGTTACAAGATGAATATGCCAGAGCTTTCATCAGTCTCTCTCCTCAGCTCACTGAACAGAACCAAAATCTTTCCCCTATCTACTTCCACCTCCACCTGATAAATGAGAAGAACACTTCTATTATGTTTGAGCTTCTATCATTTTCTGTTGGTCAATTTGTCACAGCAGCCAAAATTATCCTAACCAATGTATATGAACTGAAGGATGTGAAGAAACTAGCCCAAGAAAAGTGATGGCATTTATGTATTACATCAATCTCTTGATTAGATGGCAGGATCTTTGGTCCTTTCTATTCAACTTTATATCACTATGACATAGCCCAGTGTCTAATATGAGTCAGTAACTCAATAAAAACCCACTGAAGGAAAGTGCATTTATGAGCGATCTTAGTATGGGATTAAATTTTTTATTTTGTTTTGATTAATATATTTTTCTTTTTTTCTTCTTCTTCTTATTTTTTTTTTGAGACAGTGTCTCGCTCTGTCAGCCAGGCTGGAGTGCAGTAGCATGATCATGGCTCACTGCAACCTCCGCCTCCTGGGTACAAGGGATTCTCCCACCTCAGCCGCAGGAGTCGCTGACACCACAGGCACATGCCACCATGCCTGGCTAATTTTTGTTTTTGTTGGTAGAGACGGGGTTTTGCCATGTTGCTCAGGCTGGTCTCAAACTCCTCCAGTCTTAAGCGATCTGCCTGCCTCAGCCTCCCAAATGTCTTTTTCCTTTATTTCAGTTTACAAACAATGAATCTAGACAACCACCATCATTTGCATTTTTTTCATTTCTTCATTCTCCTTTAAATCTAGTAAAGCTCCTCATGTGCCAGGCACTAATAAATATACCTCCAATACTGAGTTTAGCTATATCAATGACATTCATGTCTTATTTCCCAAACTTATGATACTAATGTTATACATTCTGTAAGGATACCATAAATATTAACTTATAGTGACTATTTATCTCTCTTACATTGACACCAAAATATGAAAGAATACTTTTAGTAAATTTGTATCAAGTCCTCAGATTGTACTATTTAATGATTCTTTTAAAATTTGCCATATATCTGTGATATTTATTATCAAATCAGATATAAATTGGTATAGTATTTAATAAATGATTTGAAAAATCAATTTTCATATTACTAACTCATTCTTCAGATTAGTCAAAGGCATAATTTAAGAGAAAGTTAGACTTATTCTAATAATTGAATTGATGTTTGCATACAACAGTATCTAATTCCTACAGGTGATGCTAGCCTCCGTTATTAGTACATTTTATGATTTGATGTATTACTCCTGAAATTAGTGGGTCATACTATTTATCTGATACATACTATACACACATTCAAACATACACATTACATTATTGATAAATTTAATAGTTAACATTATGCAACAGGCACTTTTTGAAATCTTCAGACTATAAGGATGAGAAAGTCAGAATCCTTGTCCCAAGGAGATCATCATCTAGCAGCAGACACAGATTTTAATAGCAATAAAAATATAAAGAGTTCCAAAAGAGATGTAAGTATAACATGTCATAATAATACAGATGAGAGGGCAATTACTTTTGCTGAGCAGTAGAAAAGGTGACTTGAGACTTCGCAGAAAAGGTGACCCCATAACTGAAATGTGAAAATGAGAGCAATTTCCCAGGGATTCCCAGGGAAAATGGCAAGCATGTCAAGAGCATTCAGGTGAAAGAAAATAGCTTCATATAAATACCCGAAGCATAAAAGTGGTCAGCACATTTGAGAACAATGACTAGTATGCCCTTCCAAAATATTTGAATTTTATTGTGTAAGCAACTTTACCCATAAGCAGTATGGAAGACGGACTAGGAGAAGAAGAGATAAGGAGGGGGAAAGGGATATCAGTTAACTATCCATGATGATAGCCCAGCGGGGTATGATGAAGACCTGGAAAAGGCAGTTGAAATGGAAGGAAGGGATATTTCAGAAATAGAAACAATTAGACTCAATCTGGAAAGAGAAAGGAAGAAACTATGACTCCGTAATTTTTAACTGAGGCAACTGAAGGAATAGCAATCCTCAAATAAGAAATACATCGTGAAGGGCAAGTTTGAGTAGATGATCATAAAATTATATTGGGCATGCTGAATTTGAGATATCTGTGGAGGAATCTGAAGGAGATAAGAGTACAGAAATAATTCATGGACCAACGGCTTAGAAGTAAAGTACAGCCAAAAGACAGAAGACATCAGGCATTGAACTGTGAAAAACGCAAGCACAAAGGAGGAAGAACACTTTTAAAATACAAATATTTGAAGGGTAGAGACAGATGATCAATAAAAGGTTAGATAATGATTGACCATAGAGGTAGGAGGGCACCAGGAAACAGTTGGCTTCAACCTAGTCTAATAGCATTAACATTCAACCACCAGCCAATAATATTCATGACATATGTGCTAGATTCATTCCATTGTTCCCAAATTTCTCCCACTTTGATCCAGTTCTGGCCTGGTTCTTGGCTTTTGCCTTCCTTCTCTCATTTAGAATCTCATTCTCATTAGGCTTGAAAATTAGTACCTGTCTTTCTGACTCCTTTTGCTCTGGCCACCAATTCAAATCTTGGCCTCAGTGGCTTTGGATTGGATTTTATTTGTTTATTTATTTATTTATTTTTTGATGGAGTTTCATTCTTCCACCCAGGCTGGAGTGAAGTGCCGCAATCTCGGCTCACTGCAGCCTCCGCCCCCCAGGTTCAAGCGATTCTCCCGCCTCAGCCCCACAAGTAGCTGGGATTATAGGCACCCACCACCACGCCTGGCTAATTTTTGTATTTTTTAGTAGAAACAGGTTTCGCCATGATAGCCAGGCTGGTCTTGAACACCCGACCTCAGGTGATACACCCACCTCGGCCTGCCAAAGTGCTAGCATTACAGGCACGAGTCACCGCACCCAACCTGGATTGGATTATTTTACTGGCATTCTGAACATTGAACTAGAAAAGACAGTTCCCTAATCAAACCAACCTCTGAGAACCTGGCCATAAGCCAGGCCAGCTACAATAATGAAAACTAACAGGCACTGACTGCTAAGTAAATCCAGGCACTGTATTAACTAATTTAGTTTGCTTTAACAGCAATTCTGTGCATACATAGTTATTTCTTCCAGCCCCATCTTCAGATAAAGTTCCTGAGATCCCACACAGGTAAGAGGGAGCCAGGATCTTAGAGTCTGCACTCTAACCACGGCCTTTCACAGCCCTCAGTATGTTGGCCAGTCCATCCCATTCCAAACGAGCCCCAGATTTTTAAAATTCTTAGCTTAAAATTCAAAAGAAGATAGAATTCAAGAAGAATTGGATATTTAACCTTTCCAGATATTACAGAAAAGTAAAAAAAAACGGGAGCCAAAGAATTCATAATTGCAAAGATGTGGAACCAACGTAAGTGCCCACTGACTGATGGGTAGATAAAGAAAATGTGGTATATACACCATGGAATACCACTCAGCCATTAAAAGGAATGAAATGTCTTTTGCAGCAACTTCAATGGGGCTGAAGGCCATTATTCTAAGTGAAGTAACATAGGAATGTTAAACCAAATATTGTATGTTCTTACTCAAAAGTGGAAGCTAAGCTGTGAGTACACAAAGGCATACAGCGTGATACAATGGACTTCAGAGACTCAGGAGAAAAAGGGTAAGAGGGGGTCAAGGGATAAAAAACTACACATTAGGTAACATGTACACCACTTGGGTGATGGGTGCACTAAAATCTCAGAATTCACCTCTATATAATTCATCCATATAACAAAAAAATCTCACTTGTACTTCACAAGCCATTGAAATAAAAATAATAATAATAAAATGAGAGCTGAAAAAGAAGCCAATGGATTAGCCACTTAGGAGGTCAATGGTTGCCTCCCCAGAGCATCCTCCTCCACAGGGGTAATGTGATAGAATTGGAACTGCTTGGCCAGGCGCGGTGGCTCACGCCTGTAATCTCAGCACTTTGGGAGGCCGAGACGGGCAGATCACGAGGTCAGGAGATCGAGACCATCCTGGCTAACACGGTGAAACCCCGTCTCTACTAAAAACACAAAAAAATTAGCAGGGCGTGGCAGTGGGCTCCTGTAGTCCCAGCTACTCAGTAGGCTGAGGCAGGAGAATGGCAAGAACCAGGGAGGTGGAGCTTGCAGTGAGCCAAGATCGCACTACTGCACTCCAGCCTGGGCGACAGAGTGAGACTCCGTCTCAAAAAAAAGAATTGGAACTGCTTGTAAAATGAGAACTAAAAAGGTATGTGGAGGCATTAACTTCAGACTATCAAGAAGTGTGATGATGAGGGAAGGAGAGAAAGAGGGGTTGTTTGAGGGGTAGGCACATTCTAAATAACTTTTTTTGTAGATGAGAATTTGGTGAGAGGTCGTCCATAGGCAGGGGAGAAGAAGCATCAGTCAATGCAAGACAGACAAAAACTAATAGGTCCCAACGGGTGGAGATGGAATCAAGAACACAGGTGGGTGGCCAGCCTGACGGTGTCCCTCATGAAGGAACTAACTGGGCAGGGAAGACTGGAGATGACAAAGAGTTAGGAGATTGAAGGGGAAATTGAGAGTTTACATGCCTGAGTCCATCTGTTTTCTCAGGGAAGTAGGAGGTAAGACCTTCTGTAAAGAATGTTGCTGGTGAAGTGGAATTGGGAGCTTTCATGAAAGTTGTAAAAGGATTGTAACAGCCGCCTTGGGAAATGGCTAGGGAGCTGACGAGACATATATGCAAAATGGTTGCTGAGCAGGAACAAGGGCCCAGCTGAGGATGAAGCTCATAAACTTATAATGGAGGAAATCAGTGTGATTATATCATTCCTCCAGCTGGGCTCAGCCTTCCAGCAGGAGCAGAGAAAACAGCCACTTGGGCTGATCCGGATGAGAGTTTGGAAAACAAAGCTTCAGAGGACAAGGAGGTGAGAAAATAAAGAGCATCTGAGAGTGTCTGAAATCACTCTTCATGGTTCCTGGCTAGATGGTGAAAAAGTTAATCCAGCAGGAGTGTGACAGGTTCAGAGAACAGGGATGCCTTGAAAGAGAGATGTCCATAAAAAGATGTAGGGAGGGAAAAGGGATGAGAGAAGCAGGGTCACTGAAGAGAAGGGAGAATGTTAACATGACAACAATTTGGCTTATAATTTTCCTCTGCTCCCTGATTATTTGCATTTTCTTCAGGTGTCTTAAATCATCATGCCAGTGAATTATTTAACATCCCAGATGTATTAGATCTTCTGTAAACTAAGTATTTTGCAACTTATATTTTTGCTAGTTAAACTGAGTTTCTGTCATGGTCACTTCAAATCTAAAGTTCATTTAATATTTGCTGCCAGCCCACCTGGTGTGGGTGTGAGAAAAAGCAGCTCCTCGAGGCGGAGGTGACCACGTATCAGAGTCCACGGGTAGAGCCCAGGCTGGAGTTCCGCCCGTACAAGTCCCTCATCTCAGTCCTCTTGTGCAGGGCTCACACTTCCCATCCATATTCTGATGTCCTTGGTGAACCCAAAGGAAAACTTTTAAAAATATATTTGGGGTTGCATCTCCCTGGATTGAGAGTGAAATCATGATTTTATTAATGGACATATTAAAATCTGTGAAAAATGTTTTTAATGATAAAAAATAAAGAAGAATAGAAATGAAGAAGAGCACAGCACAAGAACCCTAAGGTACATGTATTTAAATAAATGTCAAATGAAGTGACTGAGTACCTTCCCTGATGATAATTTAGACTCTCCTGTCATACACAGAAGCTTAAAATGCAATGGCTCAATGCTGGATTCATAACTTTGGACATGTAAAGTGAAACTTACTTGACAAGGTCAAATATTTTAAATAAATTTAAATTCCATCACAGGAGAGGCAGAGAGCGCACAAAGGGAATGATAGGGCTGTCACTCCATCTTCCAAACTAAAAGATGTCTTCCTTTGTCCTCAGCCCCCACATTCAAATCCATGATTAGCAAAGACAGCTCAGACTCTAGAAACAGAAAGTAATGCTGTAACAGGCCAGAAGCATGACTTAGTAGAGAGAAGGGCCAACTACCTTCCCTCTGAGCTGTATAAAAAGCTCCTCTAAGCCTTGGTATTTTTCGTTACAAAATTTATAACACATACCTACTATCTTTTTTAAAAAAAACAAAGCCAGCTTATCTACAGATGGAATGCACAGGTCTCTTAGAGCAGTAAATGAGAATGCTTCCCAGAATCTGAGGGACAGCCATTGCCACCTGTTATTTAGCATAATTTAATTCAACTGATCAAACTGCCTCCTTTCTGTGAGGAATTTTGGCTTTTCCAAGATGCACTGGATGGTGCTAGATTAACTTGTTAGATATTTATATTTGGGCTGTAGGTTACTTTTTAACATAACCATGGATACATTTTAATCCTAACAATCAGGATTAATCTGAAAAAATAGTATATGGACTATAAACTGACTTTAATTCCACAATGAAAATATTCACTGATGCCCTAAAAGACAAGTTCTAAAAAAAATAAGAACCAGCATCACTTAACTATTTAATCTTTAGGAGGGAAGTTGAAACTGAAAAATAAATAATGTATTTACTAATTATTTCTTCTAATAGGGACATTAGTATTTATATCAACAAATGATTTACAGAAAAGACTCAATCATCTGTAAGTAAATAATTATCTATGGAAATTTAAATGACTATTTTTCAAATCTGCCAAGAAAAGTGCTCCCAGGCTACAAACTCTTGCTGTCAGTTTTTACTACAGGGATGTAAGTTAATTACAAATTAACTGAAGAATGACAGAATTCAGAATAAATGTCCACAAAACATTCCAAAGCCAAAAATAATTTTTAAGATTATGAATTACCAACCCCTTCAGCATTAGTTATCACATCAACAATTAAATATTTATACATAAGGACACACATATAATTTATGGTTGACACATAGAAATGTGGGTATTACATATATGTATAATTGTTTTTTCTGTAAATATACTGCCATCAAACTTCTACACATTGCTTTTCAAAACACCACATTTTCTTCGTAAAGGAAAAAAAATGACATTTACCAGTCTTATTGATCAATTGAGAAATATGGTAAATATGTGTGGCCTGTACTGTGCAAAGAGGCCTAGGAGAACAGCAAAATGTGGAAGAATACAGTGTCTAATTCTGTCCTATTCTGCTGGGCCATCACCACCTTAAACCTGCTACATATATAAAAGACAGTATTTTGAAGCTCAGTGTTCCTTATTTCAAGGAGGTTGCGATTAAGGGTCCAAAATTTTAAAATTAATGGAAAATGCCAGGGATGAAGAATATGCTGATATTACAGATGTACATGAGAGGATAATCATTTCCACTGGTCAGGGGCTAAATGGAAATGTGTGATTAAATCCGTGTCATTTAGCGTAATGGCTCATTAGAAACTCTTAAGAGAAATGTGCCACAAGAGCTTGAGTAATGTTTGCAGAAACAAAATAAAATCATCTGGGGCCCACTGATCAAGTCTGTTTTGTATTATTGAGGAAGAGTGATGCTTTGGAAAACCTCTGGATGATCTTACCCATCTCTCTTCATGTCACCAACCTCATAACCATAAGATGCTCCCATCCATATTCTGTGCTTAAAGATCCTTAGCTGGCCCTGTGAAATTGTGCTGCAGATTTAAAAACTAATGTTTACAACTAACATATTGTAAATAATATTGGTTAACTGAAGCCCTGGATGAAAGATAGGAGAAAAAAAAAGTTCAAATGCTTCTCTGCCAGCCTCCATGATGGAGTATTAGTAAAGTTATTTTATTAAATCCCATGCTCTTAACTGTAATATGTATACAATATACACAGTGTGATGATGAAGCAACTGTTACCATCAGGCATTTTCCTAGGTTACATGTGCTGACCTTTACAATTTTCCATTGTTAAGAAAAAGTATCATAAGCCTTCCTTTCTTGAATCTACTAAAAGTCACGACAATTTCAGATTTATAAAGCAATTTTATGTATCTAGCTTGTTTTGTACTCTCCTGAGTCCTATGAGAAAATCCATTTTACAGATGAGTAAACCTAGATTCTGAAAGACTGAAAGTTAAAAGCTATCACTGATAAACCACAATGGGAAAAAAAATATTTTTTCGGCATAAGTTTATTTGTAACTATAATTACTAAAGATGATAATATAAGGTATCTTAAAGTACTGACAATTGAATCTATAATATTTAAATATGCAAATTTTAACAGAATCCTGAGAACTTCATCAATTTTTCTCGTAATTTTTATCAGCAAGAAATATATATTAAATACCTTTCTGTCATGCACCCTAACATGGCCAACTTTCAATCACTTTTGTTCTGGTGCATATTTACCAACCCTTTAGGGAAGATGTTCCCAACCTTTTCCAATCATTTTGTGGATGGATGTTATTAGTTCAAGGGTGATTAAATCAGAGTGCGGATGGAGTAAATCAAATTCATCATCAAAATGGAAAAAGCTGCTAAACACATCAGAGTAAATAGTGTCTTTTTTTAAATGAAAATGAGCACATTTAAAAGGGAGAACTTTTTTTCAAAGAAGAATATGTGAACACCTGAGTTTCTGCTGAACATGCCTGGCAATTTATATCTTAAATTGTTTATCTGCATAGTCTTGTTACTGTAGACCACTTATTGAAGGACATTCACCAGAAATGATTTTTTCAAATTTTTGTCCAAAACAAAAAGATATATATCCTATCATATATATAATATTTAAAATGACATATATGATACCTAACCAATTAAGATAAACTAACCCACCGGATTAATATGTATGTATATATAATATATAATAATCGTATATTGGTATTACATATTCATTACAGTAGTACCCCCTTGTCTGAGGCAGATACATTCCAAGACCCCCAGTGGATGTCTGAAACTGGATAATAGTGAACTCTATATATACTATGTTTTTTCCTACACATATATGCCTATGATAAAGTGTAATTTATAAATTAAGCACGGTAGGGGATTCACAAGAATAATAAATAGAACAACTGCAATAACATACTGTTCAAATTTCATAAATAGAAGATTCATTCTTTCTGAAGACATTAGCAATCTCAGCATAAGATTTTTGTTCTTTCCTCATTAAGTTGGGAACTTTCACTTTTTAACTTAAAGGAAGCACTTTACTGCATCCAAATTGCCAGCATCACTACTTTTGTATTTTGGAGCCGTTATTAATTAAAATAAGAAAAATTTGAACACAAGCACTGCAATATTGCAACAGTTGCTCTGATAACTGAGACTGCCACTAAGTGACCAACAGGTGTATCATAGACAGCCTGGATATGCTACACAAAGGGATGAGTCACATCCCCAGAAGGATGGGATGAGATAGAGTGAGACAGGGCAAGATTTCAGAATGGTGTACAATTTAAAACTTACAAAGTATTTCTGGAATTTTTCATTTAATATTTTCGTATCCTAGTTGATCATGTGTAACTGAAACCACAGAAAGCTAAACCACAAATACGGGTACGTATACATATACATGGATATATATTCCATTTAAGATAAACTAATCCATTGGATTATTCCCAGGGCATCTTATAACTATGATTATTTCAACTTTAATTAAATGCCATCCTCTAGCTCCAAGTGGAATTTTTTTAAAGGTTGGTTAACATAAAATGTATCATCTTATTTTTAAATACTTAATTTTCAAGGTACAGATATTTTACAATTCTATGATTTTATCTTAGAATTGTATTCGTCTTACAGTTTTCTGTAAATATCCTGCCTAACATCATCTTGCAAAATTGAATTGTGACCACTTACAAGCTGATGGTGTGTAACACCACCAAGACAGAAATAATATGGCTTCACTTCCTTTCATTTAAAACCATACAATCAGCTCTTTTCAGTTAAAGAGCAGACCAGCCCTGGCAAGCTGTCTCTGCTAAACTTAGTTGTTAACTTTTGCCACCACTTTGGCTGTCCATTTGAATCATCTTTAGAGAGAGAAATGAGAAAGTAGAAAATGTTCCTTGGCTTGGCAAGAAACAGCAGGATAGATGTGAGTGAAAACAATGAAACCCCTACTGTTGATTTCTTCCCATGCTTGTTTTTGTTCCGGAGTTGGTAACAGAAAAAACACTAATGAGACCCTCTTCTGATGATTGGAAAAATGTTCTGAATGAGTTGCTCTTCTGGATCCTGACCACTGTTGCTAAAAACTCATCTTGCAGATTATTCTACAATTCCCCACCTACGAGGCTGTAGAGAACTTCTCAGCTCACACAGTGAAGCAGAATAATTCTCATTGTTTCTGCTTCAACAGATAATCTTTTCTTTCCCTCAAAGGCAGAAGGAAAATTTTCATTTTTTTCCAATATTTCACAGTAGCTTTTGTTTAATCATGCTCAACATTGACATTTTTGACCTACCATCAATGGTAAATGAAATATAGTATAGTAATAACTTCTTTTGAAGATATTTTAGTATTACCTTTTCCCCCATGCTGATAAGTAAGAAATAAAACAGTCCAAAGTGGGGGAAAAGATTGTAAAAACCCAATAACAAGTTTAAGGTAACCAGAACAGTAGAAATGAGACTCCATTTCAAACAAGTTAGGAGGATGGAGATTCTATGACATAATAGGTATCCATATGCCAATACTTATGCTTGAAAAGCAGAATTTCTCTTGCATACACATGCAAAATTACATGCGGTGACACATGGACAAAAATGATGATATCTGTTTTGTAATTTTTTCCTCCATGTTGTATTTCTGCTCCAAAGAAAATAAGGCAAAATAAATTAATGATATGTTTCAGTTTGTCTGTCCATCAGAGATCTCAGATATGCCCAGTTTCCAGTTTGCACCAGTCACTATACTCAGGATTGCATGGAACATTCAAGATATTATGTACTCTGACAGTTGTGCACATAGAAAAGGTCTGTGGATTTCAGAAGCATGTCTGGGAATGGATGCATTTGACATAAGAGAGGCAGATGAGCTCACAGTTGACAAAGGCAATATAAAAAATTTTGCAGTATCTATATCTAAGCCAAAGATAACTTCCACCCTATAGAAAGGAGAAATAGAGGCCCAAAATATCCTATAAAACATACTACAAAATTATTAGAAAATGTTCAAATCTTTGTGATAATCTGTTAACTTCCTGAGCAAAATGCTGCTTTGGATCTATTTTTGAGTCATTAAAGGTCTATCAGTTTTCTTTCACTGACAGTACTCAGTTTCACTGCCACAAATCTGTGGCAGGTCTGTTCAAAGGAAAATGAAACTATCCCAATTAATATTTGAGCACCTGGACTGAGAATCTTAGTCAGGAAAACTTTCTCATGTTAATATTCTACAATTTTCCATCAAGAAAGGTAGCCAGAAACTACTCTTTTTCTCCCGCCACTGGTAAATTTAGGAGAGTTACAGCAATTGTCTTAATATTAGAATCTTTACTATACCATGTGCATTAATATTGCTAGCATAGCAAATCACCATAAACTTAGCCATTTAAACACAAACTTTAAAACATTTAAAATATTTTAAATTTTAAACCTCTTTTTTTTTATCACAACTGCAAGGAATTGAAATCTGCCAACAATTCAAATGATCAGGGAAATAGATTCTCTTCCAGCACCTCCGGAAAGGAACCCAGCCTGCCACCATCTTGATCTTAGCCCCACTGGGCTAAAATGAAATCTTGTAGGACTTCTGACCTACAGAACTGTAAGATCAGCAAGAAAGTGGCTAAGTTTATGGTGATTTGCTGTAAATTCATCTCATCCCTTAAAAGTGTTTGTGTTTTTAAATGGACATTATGAATGTAGCAGTAATAAATAAATATATTGTATAAATAAATATCCTTTATAAATAAATACACATATATAAATATACATATTCAGGGTACATGCCCTGAATTTTTACTTATCTGTGTGAGCCATCAGAAAGATTAAAAATGATTATACTAATAAGTTTATATTAAATACATTTGGTTGTGACATTACAAATTAAAACTGTGTAAAAGAAATGCTTATCAATTAACCTGATATCATGAATTTTGCAAGAGTCTTAGGTAAATCAGATCTAGATTTGTCATAATTTTAATTAGCTACTCAAAAATGTCATAAAAGAATTGTTACTAAGCAGCCCAGAATCTTTCCATTTTGGAAACATGAGGCAAACATTTTTAAAATACTACTTTTTCTAAATCGGTAACTCAGTTTCAAACACTGAATTTGAAAAGTTACAGAAACATTTGAAATAGCTTTTATTCCACTCTAGCATATAAGGAGTTTTATTTGCTGTTATCTTAAGACATGTCCCCTCATTTCTTGCTGTGCAACAAATAAAACTCTACAAATACATTAGCAACTGCTAGAAAATCTCTGGTTCTCTTTATTTCTTTATGATTCTTGTGTAATAACTTTTTTTCTCTGACCAAAAAAAAAACATGTCACAAGCCAAGTTGTATATATTGTTAGCAAGTGGATAACAAATTAAACATAATGCTCATAATGTTATTTTTTTTTCTTCAGTAGGATTATTTTTCCCTCCCAAATTATGCTATTTATTTTGGGGATTTTGTTTGTTTGTGTGTTTGTGTCTAGTAGTTGCACACGGTGTGTTCCCTTTAAAAATACAGCAAATCCATTCCGCTTACCAAACTATGCCCTGAGCCCCAGAGCCAATAGGCTTTAGATTCTGGTAGCGCTTGAGAACTGTGAAGGTTGAGTCTCCCACTTCCACACTGTAGAACTGGTTGTCAACTTTGCTTTTGCTCATGTTGTAATGTTTGGCAATATATGACACATCCACTTGTTTATCGAATCCCTGTCAAAAAGAAGAACAGCAAAAACATGAGGCAAGTGAACAGGCAGAATGATAATGAGATGTACAGAAACTTGTTCTTTTAATGATTACTGACACTTAGCCATCTATCATCTAGTTCATGAAGTTCACATAGAAAAAAAATATGTATCAGTCCATGCAAGATTACCTCGAGTAAAAGAGCTTAGGGAAAAAATGCAAAGAAATTGTTTTTTTCATCATTAAAACTATTTATAATAGACTAATCTTAGATTTGATTCACATAATCTTTTCTAAAGTATCTCATAGAGACATTCATTTATAGAATAAACATCTATAGCTACTGAACATGCATTGGTCTCAGAGGTGATATTAGATCCTTCAGGATTCAAGTAAATAAGACAAAGATGATCACTGGTCACCCATTATACCAGTCACATGAGAACAGATAAAAAATTGTATCTACAACCTTTTCTCAGAAAGAACTAAGATACAAACTTATGTAAAGTTTTAATTATTTTAATTGGGTAAATTTGAATTAAACAGTCTTGACTTCATTTGTCCTCATTAATATCACAAATGCTATTGTTCTGAATTAAGCATAGCAAAATTCTTCTTTGAATTAATATTATTCTAAAATACCATATGACACTTTATTTTTTGGAAGCTTAGATTTTAAATATCTTAATTGTTGCATTTTTTATTTTTAAGAGAAGTTCATCTATCAATTATATTTAGTAATTGATGAGTCTGTCTTTAAAATTTTGAACTATAATACATATGTATAATATAAATATCCATTACCTGTGATTATTTATCCACAAATGATCTTATATTGTACTTATGACATAAATAGTAAGAATTCTATAGCTAGAAGGGACCTCACAGAATATCATCTAGCCCATTCCTGTGGCATACACTGGTGGATGCCTTCCCAGCAGTCACCCTTCTTGCTGATTTTGTTCAGGTTTTAAGCACCCACATTTTCTGTGGGTTCCTCCCCAATCCCAGTGACTGAAAATTAAACAATCTATGCCAGTGATTCTCATTAAAGGTGGTTTTGACCCATTTGGGGCATTTAGGAGATTTGTGGGCAGGTTTTAAAATGCCACAATAAGGGGAGAGGTACAGTTTAGATTGATTTGGTTTGTCAAAGAATGCTGGTTGTCCTACAAGAAGTGAGATGTGAGACATTCCCACGCAATGAATAATTTCTCACATACCTCACAACTTGTGAGTGTCCTGCCAAAGCTTTAATTAGTGAAAAATCTGCCTATAATGTTCTGAGTCCAGAATCTAAACCAAAGACTTTTTGTATAATTTTAACATACACTAACTTTTCTGAAAATCGAATTCTGATATAATTTGAAAGATTTAAATCTCCTTGGGCTCTGAACCTCTGGATTGATAATAAAACTATTTTTCCTGGAAAGTTTTGGCATTTCATCTCTAAATAAAAACTTGAAATAGAAGTACTATCTAATTTTCCCCATATTCACTTAGAAAGGGATCCAAGCAGCATCAGTGATGTAAATGAGGAGAATACAATGGAGCCCATGTGAACACAGGTGGCAAAACCTACAAATCCAGTGCTAGGATCTTGAGGCCTCCAGATAAGACTGAGACAGACTTGAAAGTAGAATACGTGTGACAGGCACCAACCTAAGATTGCATCGGATATGGTGGCAGCATTCATTGCAAATGCACTAAGACCTCAAAGAATAGAGTGGACTTATAGGAACTTATGTTGCTTGGACAGGAAACCAAAAATTAAGTGATCTGCAAATGCAATAATAAAAGTTCTGAAATCAAGAAAGCAGTTTGTGGAGCATGAGATAGGGAATTAAACAAGACTATTAAAAATCAGGACATTGCAAGCCTATTCAAGGAGACAACAACAGGATTTAGAATTTAGACAATGGGTGTGGACAGTGGCAGAAAAAAGAACATCAGTCTTTAAACAATCCTTGATTTCAACCACAGTACCAGGAACTGCTCTCCACACCATGGTCCATTTCTACTCTAGACTTTTTGGCATATGAGTAGAACAGCCTGAATAAAGCCCTGCTTTTTTTCCTGGCTAAGAAAGGTTAAAAAGCAACTGGAGCTAGAATATAACATGAATTCATCTGTCAAGTTTAATTTGGGATGAATGAAGTGCCTAACTTGCCATTTGTCATGTTCTGACCCTTCTTTATATCTTTTAATATTCTGTTTCTGACCACACACAAAATCTTTAGCACACACTAGCCTCACCAAACCAAGAAAATATATCTCCCCTTCCCTTACTTATTCCCTTCACTTTGGAAGTGTGGCTTTCTCAACTGTATTGCATGTATAAACTAATCATTGGCAATGAACTTTGTGTTCCAGACTCCTGACTTAATGTTGTATTGTGGCACGGCCCTGTGCCTTTGGACTTCACTGTGGCTTTTCCAGCTATGGTCTCAGTCAATATATCATAGTTGATTCAACTTGTTGTCTCTCCTCTTCCAACATTTCAATGTATATTCAAATAAACCAAAGAAGCTTAACGATTCATGTCACTTATCTCTCAGGTTTACTCTAAGAGCTACCCTATTTAATATTTAGAACTGTTTAACCCAACAAATGCTGATGATATACATATTATTTGCCAAATACTAGGTTTGGCACTCAAAATATAACCAAAAAAAGATAAGGTTCAGTCTAGAATGAAGACAATTAAATAAGAAAGTAGTTAAAGTATGGATAATACATTCTACAGAATTAAAAAAGTGCTGAAAGCAAAAAGAAACTACCAAGCAGAAAAGGGCTCTTTCTATATAATAGAAATAAAATAATATATATTCTGGAATAGAGTATTGCAATGGCAGTATATGTGCCATAGTAAACTATGTGTGTATTCCAGGAGGTAAAGGAAAACAGAGGTTTTTAAAGGAAAAATGAGGATGATTATCTAACTATTTTGAGATAATTATCCTTGGCTACAAGGATCAATAACAAAGGTAATGCCAGTCCAAAGTGGGACAGGAAATTGCTGGGCAGATGTCTTTGCAGAAACATTTTTTGCATAAGGTTGTGATGGTCTTGGCGCAAACTCATGGGTTTTTCAGCCCTTTGTGATAGTTTTTACCAGGTATTTACGCATGTGAACGCTTCTCTTTATGGCCTTCCTCTGTTCTATTTGTCATGGTTTTTTCCTTTCTTTTTTTAACACAAGTGACTCCATTCTGATTTTGACAACTTTCACAGTAGCAACTAACCACCTGCGCTCATTCAATATCATTAATTCAATCAGCTACCATGTATACAGCAACTACTAGAAGCCAAGTTACAGGTATAAAGTTGTAATGTTTGAGGGGAGACTTGATCTGTGTTTTCCCCAACTAAAAATATCCCTGAACCTTCCTTTTCACTGGTTCTCAGATATGAGTGTGCATCTCAACCACCTGGGGATGCACACTGGAGAAACAGGGCTTGATAAAATACAAGTCATTGGCATAACATTCTGGAGATTTGGATTCAAGCATCAGCAATCAACCAATTAAAAATCATCATTACAAGGTTTGTGAATTCACACACACATAAACATATAATTTCCTTTCAAGTTTCTTCTTTATACCTCACTTTGAATTAAACTTCAGGTAAAATTTGGAAGTTAGGGAAGATGTTCATGAAAGCATCTCAAATAATTGGTAAAAGTCTATTTTAATTACTAGTTTAAGCGGTAAGGCATGGACATAATAGCATAGGAAATTTTCTTAGATTGATGTCATAACCAAAAATTTGATAGCAAATATGATGTGTTAAAGAGCTTCCCCCAGATCCCATCTGTGCCCTAAGCTTACAAATCTAAATTGAGTTTTGAAAGGTTCAGAGCATATTTAATAGACTACATTTCATCCTTCAGCTTCTATATAGTATTCCTTGTCATGACTATAAAGTTCAAATATAATTTTTTCTTTATAAAATGTGCCCATGAAAATATTCCATCAAGCACACTACAGAAAAATATTATCAGTGCTAAAAATGACTTTTCTCTAGTTATACATTTTAGTGTTTCCTGAGTTCAAGTCATAGAACAAGACAGCAGATTATTTAAACCTACAAAGAAAAAAAAATTCATGTTGAGAAAGCATGCTTAGCCAATACTTGGTCTACAGCAGAGATTCTGAAGTTTTAACATGGATTAGGACTAGCTAGGGGGCTTATAAAATGCAAAGTTTCTGATTCAGTAATACTAGGATAAGGCCAAGAATCTGTACTTCTAACAAGTTTCACATTTTGAGAATCACTGTTTTAGACAATAGTAGATATAAAAGATGCCACCATTCAAAGAGGAATAATTAAAAGTCAAAAAGTGGAAGCAATGCAGATCGACATGTAAACAAAGGATGTGGAAGTTAAAAATAATGTCATAAAAGACTCTCCTTGGTATCAGCACCTGAGCACTCATCATCAATTCAATTGCTAGCCTATAGCCATAGAATTTTGCAAAGAAAAATGTCCCACATTATTGATCTTCTCCTGCAGGTGTCCAAAGCTTTGATTGCACTTTAATAGCCTATATTTCAGAAGCATTCTCTCCTCATTTTCATTTGTGAATGACTGTCCTATGTTTCTGATAGTCAGTTCCTGAGTGGGAAACATTGAGGTTTAAGAATTTTTGGAGGTTAAACTTTGTTTCTTTTGAATGATATAGCTGAAAACAGCACTGAGCCTGGATCAGTTCTGCACTTAATAGCTGTGAAACCTTGGGCAAACTATTTTATTCTTTCATTTATTATTTATATTCTGTATGGTTCCATAAAGGATTTGTCTAGCTCACGGTAAAAGATAGAGAAACAATAAAACCATTAAATCCAGTTTTAAAAACAAATGTCAAATAAAGCAAGCTAGGAGATGACAGTTTTACCAGAAGACTTAAGTTATGAATATCTATTGCCTTGAGCACAAAACTTAGTGTCACGCTTCTGGAACACCAAAGGAAAAAAAATAATAACAACAACAAAACCACAGTGAGTGGCAGGTTTTGATTTATTAATCTCATAAAATATATAATACCAATTCATAGGAAAGATAAAATTCATCAGCTAAACTTCAGGAAGAACATATTCAATTGTTTCTTTATATAATAAACCTGAAATCAAAAAACAGGCAGTAGATAAGATATTTTTAGTGAGTCACAGAAATATGTGTCATATGACTTGTATGATATTAACTCTCAACTCAATAACACAAGGGAAGAAAGAAAGTTGAACCAGTATTATTGCTTACCTACTATAGACATACTCTTTATTATGTTAAACATGTTAAAGTGAACACTCAAAACAGATGGAGAAAGTGGCATACAGAGCTGTTCATTAATTGGCTCAAAATCTCAGAACTATTAATTGGTGGTACCAATTAATATGAATTAAAGTTTATCTGACTTCAAAACAAGTTCTCTTCTTTTTGTAAGCTAAACCATGTACTAGTTTACCTAGACAATCTTGTGTGGTGATAGAAAGCTGGATATTCATGGATGCCAAGAAATTTAAAGGGCCTGATTCTACTCATTTGTTAAATATTTATTGAGCACCTACTGTGTGTTGGGCACTATTAAATGTAACATGGGTATAAAATTAATCTATCTCAATAGGATAGCCAAGAAATATTAACCACAAAGTGCACTTGTGGAAAATTAGCCAGTCAATCTGCTGGATATTTTTTTAGTATGGTCATTTGGATACCGAAAACCAGTTGCCTAAAGTCTTGATCCTGCTTTTGGCACAGAAGATATTGAGCTATCTATTCTCATAGTTATGACCAGCAGATTCAGTTGCTTCATGATACCACTCCAACATTGTTGTGCAAAGTCAGCCAAAATAATGCCTGATGTTCTGGGGTGGCAAAAAGGCATGTGCTTAATCTATTTTAAATATGTATCAAATTATTTACATATGAGATTCGTTTGTTTGTTTCCTTTTAGAAACAGGGTCTCGCTCTGTCATCCAGCCTGGAATGCAGTGGCACAATCATGGTTTGCTGCAGCCTTGAACTCCTGAGCTCAAGCAATCTCCCCACCTCAGCCTTCTGATAGCTGATACTATAGGCACATGCCACCACTCCCAGATAATTTTTTTTTTTTTTTTTTTTTTTTTTTTTTTTTTTTTTTTAGAGATGAGGTCTCAGTATGTTGCCCAGGCTGGTCTTGAACTCCTGGCCTCAAACAATTCTCCCGCCTCAGCCTTCCAAAATGCTGATATTACAGGCGTGAGCCACAGCACCTGGCCTTATATATGAGTTTTAAAGGGGAAGATTTGAGACAATACTTAGTGATATTTAGGATTAAATTTTGTTCTCTCAAGAGCACATTTCCTCACACTGTTCCTTGAAGAGTTACTCTCAGCAGAGGGTTACATCCTGGAATCAATTTCACTTTTACATTAGTTAGTTGGCCTAGAGATGGTTATTCTATGGAATCAATGAATTATGAAAAATCAATAAAGCAGCAAAAATTGTAAGACCTAAATTATGTTTGATAATTTGATAATTATTTTCAATTATGTTGGAAAGCATATAACAGTAATCAATAGTAGAGCTGGTATGGCTTCTGCCTGCCTTCTTTACATATGAAGGTATGGCTTCTGCCTGCCTTCTTTACATACGAAGGTGGGGAACTAATACTGCTTGAATACTTATTAGGCACCAAGCTAGTATGAGTAACAGGCAATGTGCTAGATGTCTAACAAATTATTTCGTGTAAGAATTAGCATTCTATTTTCAACAAATAAGAAACTCTAGACTGAGAACTTTAGCAAAGGGTAAAAATGCAGCTTCTCATCTAACTATCCAGTTTAAAATCCTGACTGTGAGCCCTTGGGCAAGTTCTTTATAATATTAGCCCTTGTTTCTTTAGTTGTAGAATGAGGGCAATAATCTACTTTTTATTAGTGGAAAGGTTAAATAAGATAATCTATGTAAGCTCTAAGCATGGTATAAGGTTATAGAAAACTCTCAAAGTTTTTATTTTTAATATAATTATTACCATTATTATAATTATCATTATTATTGAGAAGTTAGACAACATTTAAGACCCATAGTTAGCAGTTTTAGAGTATTTATCACAAAAGTTGGCCTAGCTCCTAAACCACAGTACCATTTGAAAGCACTATGATACTCCTATAAAATCCACAAAGAACCAACAGAGTTCAGAATTACAGGATAAGAAGATATTTTTCCTTAGTTTTCATTTGTGGTAGAGACAGTGCTCCATGAATATCCATGTGCCCCTCTCCACTTTCCACCTCCCTTGCAGTTGCAGTTGGTGTCATGTGACTATATACAGAAATGCCAGCTGTCACCTAAACAGAGAGGGCTTCAAAAAGCGATGTGCTCACAACTAAAACTAGAGAAGCAAGAGCAAACAAATCCAAAAACTAGCAGAAAACAAGAAATAACCAAGATCAGAGCAGAATAGAAAAACATAGAGACACAAAAAAAAACCTTCAAAAATCAATGAATCCAGGAGATGGTTTTTGAAAAACTAAAATAGATTGACTGCTAGCTAGACTAATAAAGAAGAAAAGAGAAAAGAATCAAATAGACACAATAAAAAAGTGATAAAGGGGATATCACCACTGATCCCACAGAAATACAAACTACCATCAGAGAATATTATAAACACCTCTAGACAAATATACTAGAAAATCTAGAAGAAATGGATAAATTCCTGGACACATTTCCAAGACTAAACCAGGAAGAAGTCAAATCCTTGAATAGACCAATACCAAGTTCTGAAAGTGAGGCAGTAATAAATAGCCTACCAACCAAAAAAAAGCCCAGGACCAGACAGATTCACAGCTGAACTCTACCAGAGGTACAAAGAGGATCTGGTATCATTCCTTCTGAAACTATTCCAAACAATTGAAAAGGAGGAACTTCCCTGTAACTCATTTTATGAGGCCAGCATCATCCTGATACCAAAATCTGGCAGAGACATAGCAAAAAAAGAAAACTTAAGGCCAATATTCCTGATGAACATCGATTCAAAGATACTCAATAAAGTACTGTCAAACCTAATCCAGCAACATATCAAAAAGCTTATCCTACACAATCGAGTCGGCTTCATCCCTGGGATGCAAGGGTGGTTCAACATATGCAATCAATAAATGTAATCCATCACATAAACAGAACCAATGACAAAAACCACATGATTATCTCAATAGATGCAGAAAAGGCCTTTGATAAAATTCAACATCCCTTCATGTTAAAAACTCTCAATAAACTAGGTATGGACATAACATATCTCAAAATAATAAGAGCTGTTTATGAGAAACCCACAACCAATATCCCACAACCCACAACTGAATGGGCAAAAGCTGGAAGCATTCCCCTTGAAAACTGGCACAAGACAAGGATGCCCTCTATCACCACTCCTATTAAACATAGCAATGGAATTTCTGACCAGGGCAATCAGGCAAGAGAAAGAAATAAAGGGTATTCAAATAGGAAAAGAGGAAGGCAAATTGTCTCTGTTTGCAGATGACATGATCCTATATCTAGAAAATCCCATTGTCTCAGCCAAAAAGCTTATTAAGCTGATAAGCAACTTCAGCAAAGTCTCATGATAAAAGATCAATGTGCAAAAGTTACAAGCATTCTGAGAGGACAGCCAAGATGGCCTAATAGGAACAGCTCCAGTCTACAGCTCCCAGTCTGAGCGACACAGAAGACGGGTGATTTCTGCATTTCCATCTGAGGTACCGGGTTCATCTCACTAGGGAGTGCCAGACAGTGGGTGCAGGACAGTGGGTGCAACGCACCGTGCACCAGCCGAAGCAGGGTGAGGCATTGCCTCACTCGGGAAGTGCAAGGGTCAGGGAGTTCCCTTTCCTAGTCAAAGAAAGGGGTGACAGACAGCACCTGGAAAATCGGGTCACTCCCACCCTAATACTGTGCTTTTCCAACGGGCTTAAAAAATGGTGCACCAGGAGATTATATCCCGCACCTGGCTTGAAGGGTCCTACACGCACGGAGTCTCGCTGATTGCTAGCACAGCAGTCTGAGATCAAACTGCAAGGTGGCAGCGAGGCTGGGGGAGAGGCGCCCGCCATTGCCCAGGCTTGCTTAAGTAAACAAAGCAGCCCGGAAGCTCCAACTGGGTGGAGCCCACCACAGCTCAAGGAGGCCTGCCTGCCTCTGTAGGCTCCACCTCTGGGGGCAGGGCACAGACAAACAAAAAGACAGCAGTAACCTCTGCAGACTTAAATGTCCCTGTCTGACAGCTTTGAAGAGAGCAGTGGTTCTCCCAGCACACAGCTGGAGATCTGAGAACGGGCAGACTGCCTCCTCAAGTGGGTCCCTGACCCCTGACCCCCGAGCAGCCCAACTGGGAGGCACCCCCCAGTAGGGGCAGACTGACACCTCACACGGCCGGGTACTCCTCTGAGACAAAACTTCCAGAGGAACGATCAGACAGCAGCATTCGCGGTTCACAAAAATCCACTGTTCCGAAGCCATCCCTGCTGCTACCCAGGCAAACAGGGTCTGGAGTGGACCTCTAGCAAACTCCAACAGACCTGCAGCTGAGGGTCCTGTCTGTTAGAAGGAAAACTAACAAACAGAAAGGACATCCACACCAAAAACCCATCTGTACATCACCATCATCAAAGACCAAAAGTAGATAAAACCACAAAGATGGGGAAAAAACAGAACAGAAAAACCGGAAACTCTAAAAAGCAGAGCGACTCTCCTCCTCCAAAGGAACACAGTTCCTCACCAGCAACAGAACAAAGCTGGACAGAGAATGACTTTGACGAGTTGAGAGAAGAAGGCTACAGACGATCAAACTACTCCGAGCTACAGGAGGAAATTCAAACCAAAGGCAAAGAAGTTAAAACCTTTGAAAAAAATTTAGACGAATGTATAACTAGAATAACCAATACAGAGAAGTGCTTAAAGGAGTGGATGGAGCTGAAAGCCAAGGCTCCAGAACTACGTGAAGAATGCAGAAGCCTCAGGAGCCGATGCGATCAACTGGAAGAAAGGATATCAGCAATGGAAGATGAAATGAATGAAATGAAGCAAGAAGGGAAGTTTAGAGAAAAAAGAATAAAAAGAAATGAACAAAGCCTCCAAGAAATATGGGACTACGTGAAAAGACCAAATCTACATCTGATTGGTGTACCTGAAAGTGACTGGGAGAATGGAACCAAGTTGGAAAACACTCTGCAGGATATTATCCAGGAGAACTTCCCCAATGTAGCAAGGCAGGCCAACATTCAGATTCAGGAAATACAGAGAACACCACAAAGATACTCCTCGAGAAGAGCAACTCCAAGACACATAATTGTCAGATTCACCAAAGTTGAAATGAAGGAAAAAATGTTAAGGGCAGCCAGAGAGAAAGGTCGGGTTACCCACAAAGGGAAGCCCATCAGACTAACAGCGGATCTCTCGGCAGAAACCCTACAAGCCAGAAGAGAGTGGGGGCCAATATTCAACATTCTTAAAGAAAAGAATTTCAACCCAGAATTTCATATCCAGCCAAACTAAGCTTTATAAGTGAAGGAGAAATAAAATACTTTACAGAAAGCAAATGCTGAGATTTTGTCACCACCAGGCCTGCCCTAAAAGAGCTCCTGAAGGAAGCGCTAAACATGGAAAGGAACAACCGGTACCAGCCGCTGCAAAATCATGCCAAAATGTAAAGACCATCGAGACTAGGAAGAAACTGCATCAACTAACGAGCAAAATAACCAGCTAACATCATAATGACAGGATCAAATACACACATCACAATATTAACTTTAAATGTAAATGGACTAAATGGTCCAATTAAAAGACACAGACTGGCAAATTGGATAAACAGTCAAGACCCATCAGTGTGCTGTATTCAGGAAACCCATCTCACGTGCAGAAACACACATAGGCTCAAAATAAAAGGATGGAGGAAGATCTACCAAGCAAATGGAAAACAAAAAAAGGCAGAGGTTACAATCCTAGTCTCTGATAAAACAGAGACTTGTTGGATTTGTTAAACCAACAAAGATCAAAAGAGACGAAGAAGGCCATTACATAATGGTAAAGGGACCAATTCAACAAGAAGAGCTAACTATCCTAAATATATATGCACCCAATACAGGAGCACCCAGATTCATAAAGCAAGTCCTGAGTGACCTACAAAGAGACTTAGACTCCCACACAATAATAATGGGAGACTTTAACACCCCACTGTCAACATTAGACAGATCAATGAGAAAGAAAGTTAACAAGGATACCCAGGAATTGAACTCAGCTCTGCACCAAGCGGACCTAATAGACATCTACAGAACTCTCCACCCCAAATCAACAGAATATACATTTTTTTCAGCGCCACACCACACCTATTCCAAAATTGACCACATAGTTGGAAGTAAAGCTCTCCTCAGCAAATGTAAAAGAACAGAAATTATAACACACTATCTCTCAGACCACAGTGCAATCAAACTAGAACTCAGGATTAAGAAACTCACTCAAAACCGCTCAACTACATGGAAACTGAACAACCTGCTCCTGAATGACTACTGGGCACATAACGAAATGAAGGCAGAAATAAAGATGTTCTTTGAAACCAACGAGAACAAAGACACAACATACCGGAATCTCTGGGACTCATTCGAAGCAGTGTGTAGAGGGAAATTTATAGCACTAAATGCCCACAAGAGAAAGCAGGAAAGATCCAAAATTGACACCCTAACATCACAATTAAAAGAACTAGAAAAGCAAGAGCAAACACATTCAAAAGCTAGCAGAAGGCAAGAAATAACTAAAATCAGAGCAGAACTGAAGGAAATAGAGACACAAAAAACCCTTCAAAAAATTAATGAACCTAGGAGCTGGTTTTTTGAAAGGATCAACAAAATTGATAGACTGCTAGCAAGATTAATAAAGAAGAATCAAAACTTTTGGTACTGGTACCAAAACAGAGATATAGATCAATGGAACAGAACAGAGCCCTCAGAAATAACGCTGCATATCTACAACTATCTGATCTTTGACAAACCTGAGAAAAACAAGCAATGGGGAAAGGATTCCCTATTTAACAAATGGTGCTGGGGAAACTGGCTAGCCATATGTAGAAAGCGGAAACTGGATCCCTCCATTACACCTTATACAAAAATTAATTCAAGATGGATTAAAGACTTAAATGTTAGATCTAAAACCATAAAAACCCTAGGAGAAAACCTAGGCATTACCATTCAGGACATAGGCATGGACAAGGACTTCATGCCTAAAACACCAAAAGCAATGGCAACAAAAGACAAAATTGACAAATGGGATCTAATTAAACTAAAGAGCTTCTGCACAGCAAAAGAAACTACCATCAGAGTGAACAGGCAACCTACAAAATGGGAGAAAATTTTCCCAACCTACTCATCTGACAAAGGGCTAATATCCAGAATCTACAATGAACTCAAACAAATTTACAAGAAAAAAACAACCCCATCAAAAAGTGGGCGAAGGATATGAACAGACACTTCTCAAAAGAAGACATTTATGCAGCCAAAAGACACATGAAAAAATGCTCATCATCACTGGCCATCAGAGAAATGCAAATCAAAACCACAATGAGATACCATCTCACACCAGTTAGAATGGCAATCATTAAAAAGTCAGGAAACAACAGGTGCTGGAGAGGATGTGCAGAAATAGGAACACTTTTACACTGTTGGTGGGACTGTAAAGTAGTTCAGCCATTGTGGAAGTCAGTGTGGCGATTCCTCAGGGATCTAGAACTAGAAATACCATTTGACCCAGCCATCCCATTACTGGGTATATACCCAAAGGACTATAAATCATGGTGCTATAAAGACACATGCACACGTATGTTTATTGCGGCACTATTCACAATAGCAAAGACTTGGAACCAACCCAGATGTTCAACAATGATAGACTGGATTAAGAAAATGTGGCACATATACACCATGGAATACTATGCAGCCATAAAAAATGATGAGTTCATGTCCTTTGTAGGGACATGGATGAAATTGGAAATCATCATTCACAGTAAACTATTGCGAGGACAAAAAACCAAACACCGCATGTTCTCACTCATGGGTGGGAATTGAACAATGAGAACACATGGACACAGGAAGGGGAATATCACACTCTGCGGACTGTTGTGGGGTGGGGGGAGTGGGGAGGGATAGCATTAGGAGATATACCTAATGCTAAATGACGAGTTAATGGGTGCAGCACACCAGCATGGCACGTGTATACATATGTAACTAACCTGCACATTGTGCACATGTACCCTAAAACTTAAAGTATAATAATAATAAAATTGTAAAGAAACATGAAAAAAATAAAAATAAAAATAAATAAGTAAAAAATTAAAAAAAAAAGTTACAAGCATTCCTATACACCAACAATAGGCAAGCAGAGGGCCAAATCATGAATGAACTTCCATTCACAATTGCTACAAAGAGAATAAAATGCCTAGGAATACAGTTAACAAGAGATGTGAAGGATCTTTTCAAGGAGAATTACAAAACCACTGTTCAAAGAAATAAGAGACAACACAAACAAATGGAAAAGTATTCCATCCTTGTGAATAGGAAGAATCAATATTGTGAAAATGGCCATACTGCCCAAAGTAATTTATAGATTCAATGCTATTCCCATCAAAGTATGATTGACATTCTTCACAGAATTAGAAAAAAAAACTAGTTTAAAATTCATATGAAACCAAAAAAGAACCCGTATAGCCAATACAATCCTAAGCAAAGAGAACAAAACTGGAGGCATCATTCTACCTGACTTCAAACTATACTACAAGGCTGCAGTAATCTAAACAGTAGAATACGAGTATAAAAACAGATACATAGATCAATTGAACAGAATAGAGGGCTCAGAAATAAGACTGCACATCTACAACCATCTGATCTTCAGCAAACCTGACAAAAATAAGCAATGGGAAAAGGATTCTCTATTTAATAAATGGTGCTGGGAGAACTCACTAGCCATATGCAGAAAACTGAACCTGGACCCCTTCCTTACACCTTATACAAAAATTAACTCGAGATGGATTAAAGACTTAAATAAGAAAAATGTAAAACCCAAAACCTTAAAAACCCTAGAAGAAAATCTAGGCAATATCATTCAGGAAATAGGCATGGGCAAAGATTTTATGATGAAATCACCAAAAGCAATTGCAACAAAAGCAAAAATTGACAAGTGGGATCTAATTAAACTAAAGAGCTGGTGCACAGCAAAAGAAACTATCATCAAAATGAACAGGCAACCTACAGAATGGGAGAAAAATTTTTCAATCTATTCATCTGACAAAGGTCTAATATCCAGAATTTACAAGGAACTTAAACAAATTTACAAGGAAAAAACAACCCCATCAAAAGTGGCCAAAGGACATGAACAGACACTTCTCAAAAGAAGACATTTATGCAGCCAACAAACATGAAAAAAAGCTCGTCACTGATTATTAGAGAAATGCAAATCAAAACCACAATGAGATAACATCTCACACCAGTCAGAATGGCAATAATTAAAAATTCAAGAAACAATAGATGCTGGCAAGGCTGCAGAGAAATAAGAATGCTTTTACACTGTTGGTGGGAATATAAATTACTTCAACCACTGTGGAAGACAGTGTGGTAATTCCTCAAGGATCTAGAACCGGAAATACCATTTGACCCAGCAATCCCATTACTGGGTATATACCCAAAGTAATATAAATAATTCTACTATAAAGGTACATGCACACATATGTTTATTGCAGTATTATTTACAATAGCAAAGACATGACAAACCCAAATGCCCATTAATAATAGACTGGATAAAGAAAATGTGGCACATATACACCGTGGAATACTACGCAGTCGTAAAGAGGAATGAGATCATATCCTTTGCAGGGACATGCATGAAGCTGGAAGCCATCATCCTCAGCAAACTAACATAGGAATAGAACCAAACACTGCATGTTCTCACTCATAAGTGGGAGCTGAAAAATGAGAGCACATGGACGCAGGGAGGGGAACAACACACACTGGGACCTGTCAGGGGGGTGGTGGAAGGGAGTGCATCAGGACAAATAGCTAATGCATGTGGGTGGGTTGATAGGTGCAGGAAATCATCATGGCACATATTTACCTATGTAACAAAGCTGCACTTTCTGCAAATGTATCCCAGAGCTTAAAATTAAATTAAATTTTTTTAAAAAGGTGATGTGCCTCCTCAACACTTCTCTTTCCACAGTGGTGTTTTAGCTCGTGCATCACAGGATGACTAAACTCCTGAGTCACCAGATAGAGGACAACCCTTGCTCACCTGAATTGGAATTTGAATGACAGGAAATAAACTTTTGATCTGATATATCACTGAGATTTGGAGTCTATTATTACTGCAGTATGTTCTTCATTCTATATTTATTTTGGTCATAAAATGTGCCAAGAACTACCCTAGACACTGAGAATGCAAAGCTCCTGACCTCATGGAGCTTAATATTAAATTTTCCCTTAGAGGATCAAACTTTTTCAAGTTATGGGCCTCATTATCACAATGATCTAGACTACTAAACTAATCACACTGAATTTTACACCTTTTGATCTACACATTCACAATTTGTCTGCAATAAAGAAAAAAGACATACGAAATCAGAAATAATAAGTGGTATTACATAATCAAAGACAGGACAAATTTTCCAGAGTAGTAATAATAAATTTTATTTTAAAAAAATCCTTCTCAGAGTGGAAGTAAGAGGTTAATATTTCATAATAAGGAAAGTAAAAATTTCATTTGGGAATCGAAATGGTTAAAATGAATTATCTGGATTTCACTAACTCATCTCTAAAATATGTCTTTATATTTTTAGAAAAGAGAATTAGAGTTTTTCAAATGCTACATTTAAGAATCTGAAACACTAAAGCCATGTTTTCATTCACACAACAAAGAACGTTATTCTTAAACCCTGTGTGATGTGATATGGTTTTGATCTGTATGTCTACCCCAATCTCCTGTGGAATTGTAATCCCCAGTGTTGGAGGTGGGGCCTGGTGGGAGATGACTGGATCATGGGGGTGGTTTCTCATGGTTTAACACCATTCCCTTTAGTGCTGCCATCTCAATAGTGAGTTCTCGTGAGATCTGGTTGTTTAAAAGTGTGTGACACCTCCCTCCTCTCTCTCTTCCTCCTGCTCCTGCCATGTAAGACGTGCCTATTTCCCCTGCACCTTCCACCATGATTACAAGTTTCCTGAGGCCACTCCAGAAGCCAAGCAGATGCTTCCATGCTTCCTGTACAGCCTGCAGGACCGTGAACCAATTAAATCTCTATTATTTATAAATTACCTAGCCTCAGGTACATATTTAAAGCAATGCAAGAACAGACTAATACATGAAGCATATCCTTATCATTCCCTCATCTGCACAATTATGAAAGGATTTAATTGGTACCTCACTTTAATAGTTCCACATTCTCCATGATCTTGTTTTTCATCTTTTTGAATATGTACTTTTGTAGCTGACTTGACCTTTATTGAATGAGTTAGACATATCTATAACCAAATAAACATTCACTTACAGAGAAGATGAACAAAAGAGGAATTGAATGATACACTCCAGATTAGAACTGGTTTTAGAACTCAGAACCAAAGTGGACATTCTTCTTAACCTACTGAAAAATGCAGCCTATGGTTATCATGCATCATACTTTCAAATAATAACTGTGCAGATAAGCAAACATTATCACTTAAAATATATTTCAAAAGTCTCCTATCAGAAGGATAATAGAATTAAAATAGTGTACTTAAGGAGTTAGTTGATTACCTAAGAACATAATATAGAAAAGAATGGAATCCAAAAGTTGATGCTTCTCTTGCAGAGCATGATTACAAATTAACCATACACTGAAAATCACGAATAGTTCTGGAATATTTTTTAACACAACTTCTGTATTTTGAAAAATGTAACTAATAACTGCATTTAATCTGATTAATACCTCAACAATAATTAAGCTCATAACATCAAATTACACTTGAATTCAGGTTAAACCAATTCAAAAAGAAGTCAAAATCTGACCTTTTTGTGCTTCAAGCAAATCAAGCACATTTTCACAATGAACCAATACAGAAAAGTTAATTATCACGGAACTGAACCTTAGGACCTTCAAATTTTCTGTTAAACTTGAGCAGCATAACTAAGGGTATTCATTAACTATAATAACTACTTAATAAATTTTTAGAAAAAAACTGCTCAGCATATAAAACAGAAGCATAGCACTAAATTAACACTTCTGAAATTTGCTATAACTGTGTTCACCTGTGGATACCCAGAAAAAACCTAATGTCAAGCAACATTAATCATTCATCCATAAAAACAGGTAGACCGTTATCATGACAGTACAGAAATCTCTGTGATTTATTTCAACATACAAGATATATCACATTTTTATAATAATGTTTACCTTATCTTTGTTTAATAATTTACTCATAGTCATGCAAACAAAAGCATATACATTGTGATTTTAGAAAATTAGTGCAAAATTAAATGTTACATATTAAAGCAGATGTAGAAGAAAGAGTCAGGTTTCCTTAAATAATACATAAGAAAGAACACTCATTAAAAGGAGAAGGTAAAGTAAAAATTTCTCTTTCCCCATTACATGAAAAACTAAAATAGTTTTTTTAAAAAGGGATATATAGGTTCATATCTCAAAACCACAGCCATTTATTTATGAAACACCAGTGCCTTCAACTACATCCACAGTTCAACCTGCTGATCCCCTTAAGCCATATGTGTATCAGGTGAAGACTCTAAATTGAGTTTTTGGGGGGTTCAGGCAGTCCTCCCAAAAACCTAAACCATACAAACCATATCATTTGTTTCACAGATCACCTAAAATGGTTTACAGTTTACCTGTTACATTATGCAGGTTTTTCCTTTGCCCTGCTCTGCCAAAAATCTTTTTCTTTGTTGCTTTACTTCTCATGTTGGTATAGAAGTCTTTATTC
The DNA here is from genome assembly GCF_000001405.40 of Homo sapiens. NCBI lineage: Eukaryota > Metazoa > Chordata > Mammalia > Primates > Hominidae > Homo > Homo sapiens. Next base: position 86,177,416 of record NC_000004.12, read on the forward strand.
CAACTAGGATGGCCATCCAATGAAGTATAAAATTTTTAATTGGATATTTTCAAAGTCTTTGAAATAGAAACATCATAGACCCATCAAATGAAATGAGCAAGTTATTTTAAATTCAAATTGCCTTAAAATCAAGAGAGCTGTTTTTAAAAACCCATATAATTCTGGAACCAAGCTTAATGATGTTTTTTAAATGCTCTAGATGCTAGTAATCTCAACATATCATTTAAAATGAAATCGCTCCATGGACACTCCAGACACTTCTTTTTACAAATTCCCTTGTTTACTAGTTTCCAGGTTTAAAAAGGGCTCTTAAAGGTTACTGCACCCCATAAAACATTAGCAAATTATCCTGAAATTTCCAAAGATTGAAAAACACTGTGCCAAAAAGTAATAGTAAATCAAGTGATCAGTAATTTTGCTAAAGGATAGATATTATTATATATACACATATAGTGCTTTTATTATCCAGAGGAATAAAATATATTTTAATTAACTAATCAAGTCATCTAATAATATTTCATATTTATTTAAAAGACATTGCTTTAACCAAAAAAAGGCAACATGTTTAATCTTGGCTATTATATCTTACAACGTAAAATGCCAAAAAAAGTAAGAATTGTTTTTAACTGAAGGCTAATTTTGACACTAACAACTCCACATTAAGACTGCTATTTTTTTCTTATCTCCAGTAGTATTTTTGGACCTTAAATACCACCACAATATTTTGGAATTTGTGTAAAAACCTTTTTCCCCCTACTGGTCCAAAAGTATCTTAGGTTCCTTTGCATTTAATCATAGTTTTTTTGTTCTCAGTTAAATGTAGTTTAAGTGGTATTATAAAGATAAAATGAGGTAAAATATTAATAAATTTTTCACACACAGTAAGTATTCAATAGGTAGTGAGGGGTTTTGGTTGGTTGGATGTTTGGTGACTCATTATTGCTTATCTCTGAGGTCTTGAACTCTAAGGAGTAGGGTTTTTTTAATGTTTATAAGCCTAACTACTCCCTACCATGATTGAGAGTAAACAGCATGTTTTTTAGGAGAGTAACCACATCATGCTGTATCTCTAGTTTATATTACACAAATTACAAGTACATTTTATAGGTACTCAGTAAGATGTCTTGCAACAAAGGCCATTTATGATAAACCCATAGCTAACATCATACTGAATAGGGAAAACCTTAAAGCTTTTCCTCTAAGAAGTGGAACAAGACAGCCCACTCTTTCCACTATTATTCAACATAGTACTGGAAGAACTGGTCAAAGCAATTAGACATTAGAAATAAGTAAAGGGCATCCAAAGTAGAAAGGAAGAAGTCAAGTTGTCCCTGTTTGCAGATGGCATGAACTCATATATAGAAAAACCTAAAGACTCTACTAAAAAACCCTTAGAAGTAACAAAACAAATTCAATAAAATTGCAGAATGCAAAATCAACAAACAAAAATCAGTAACATTTCTACACACGAACAACAAACTAGCTAAAAAAGAAATCAAGAAGTTTGCTGGGTGTGGTGGCTCATGCTTATAATCCCAGCACTTTGGGAGGCCAAGGTGGGCACATCACAAGGTCAGGAGATTGAGACCATCCTGGCTAACATGATGAAACCTTGTCTCTACTAAAAATACAAAGAATTAGCCAGGCATGGTGGTCAGCACCTGTAGTCCCAGCTACTTGGGATACTGAGGCAGGAGAATCACTTGAACCTGGGAAGTGGAGGTTGCAGTGAGCCAAGATCGTACCACTGCACTCCAGCCTGGGTGACAAAGTGACTCCATCTCAAAAATAAAAATAAAAAAAGAAAGAAAAGAAAAGAAATCAAGAAGTCAATTCCATTTACAATAGTACACAAACAATAAAATACCTAGGAATAAATTTAACCAAGGAGGTGAAAGACTTATACAAGGAAAACTATAAAACACCGATGAAAGAAATTAAAAAGGATACAAATGAAAAGATATCTCATGCTTATGGATCAGAAGAATTAATATTGTTAAATGACCATACTAACCAAAGCAACCTACACATTCAATGTAACGCCTACCAAAATACCAACGACATTCTTCCCAGGAAAAAAAATCCAAAAATTTGTATGGAACCACAAAAGGCCCCAAATAGCCAAAGCAATCCTTAACAAAAAGAACAAAGCTAAAGATATTACGCCACCAGACTTCAAAATATACTACAAGGCTATAGTAACCAAAACAGCATGGCACTGGCATAAAAACAGACACATAGGCCAACAGAACAAATCAGAAAACCCAGAAATTAATTTACATATCTACGCCAACTACCTTTTGACAAAGCTACCAAGAACATACATTGGGGAAGGGAAACTCTCTTCAATAAATGATGCTAAATGGTTATCCATATGAAGAAGAATGAAACTATATCTCTCACAATAAACAAAATACAACTCAAGATAGATGAAATACTTAAATGTAAGACCTAAAACTATAAAACTACTAGAAGAAGACATAGGGAATATGCTTTGGAACACTGTTCTGGGCAAAGATTTTATGAAAATAAGACCTCAAAAGCAGAGGCAACAAAACAAAAAAAAATGGATTGTATCAAACTAAAAAGCTTTTGCACAGCAAAGGAAACAATCAGCAAAGTGAAAATACAACCCAAAGAATGGGAGAAAATATTTTCAAACTATTGATTCCAAAGGGAATTAATATCCTAAATATACAAGGAGCTCAAATATCTCAATAACAACAACAAAATCTGGATTATAAAATAAACAAATGATCTGAACAGACATGTCTCAAAAGAAGACACACGAATGGCCAAAAAATATATGAAAAGATCACTCAACATCACTAATCATCAGAAAACTACAAATCAAAACCACATTGATGTGTTATTCTACCCCGGTTAGAATGACTATTATAAAAAGGACAAAAAATAATAAATGTTGGTGAGATATGGAGAAAAGGAAGCTCTTATACACTGTTGGTGGGAATGTAAACTAGTACAAGCACTATGGAGAACAGTATATAGCTTCTTCAAAAAACTACAGATAGAACTACCATATGATCCAGCAATCCCACTACTGGGTGTTCATCAAAAAAAAAAAAAAGAAGAAGAAAAAAGAAAACTAGTGTATCAAAGAGATATCTGCACCCCCATGTTTACTGCACTATTCACAATAGCCAAGACATGGAATCAACCTTAGGTGTCCAACAACACATGACTAGATAAAGCAAATTAGGTATATACACTCAATGGAATACTACTGAGCCATAAAAGAGAAATGAAATCCTGTCATTCTCAGCACCATGAATGGAACTGGAAGACATTATGTTAAGTGAAATAAGAGAAGAACAGGAAGTTAAACACCACATGTTCTCATTCATATATGGAAGCTAAAAAAAGTTGATCTCATAGAAATAAAAAGTAGAACAGAGGATACTGGAGGCTGAGATGGGTAAGGGTTGGGGGAAAAAAGAGATTGTTAAAGGGTATAAAATTAGAGCTAGACAGGAAGAATAAAATACGGTGTTCTACAGCACTGTAGGGTGACTATAGTTTATATTATAAATTTCAAATAGTTAGAAGGAGGATATTGAATGTTCTCAAAACAAAGAAGTGATAAATGTTTGAGATGATGGATATGTTAATCACCCTGATGTGATTACTATACATTATATGTATCAAAACATCACTATGTACCTCCATAAACATGTATGATTGTTATGTGCCAATTTTTTTAAGTAAATTAAATTTTTAAATGGGATGGATATTAAACTAATAAATTAGAAAAATTACCAAAAACTCTTAAAAATATGTATTGAATCGATGAATGGTAAAATCAATAATCAATCAGTCAACGAGTAGATAAGGAGCCAAAAGGAGTTTTTGTGTCATAAGAAAAAGGAAGACCAGTCTTAGCTCAGTCCCTTTTACTTCTAGTGCTGCTTAAATTTATGATTTGATGATTAATTAATTTGTACCCTCTGTGTCACAGGCTTTCTCAAAATCAGGAAATAATTTAAAATTATTCATAACTAAATCATCGGTAAATGTTTACAGAGGACACTAAGTTGATAAATGTTAGATAAATGTTAGGTAAATACTGATTTATGATTAGGAAAATAATGAAAACATAATTAAATCTATTAACATACACTTGTAGGATATGAGGATGTTGAAAAATTGATTTGATTTTGAAAAGCAAGCAAACACATTTCTACTTAGGAAATGGTGTTTTTCTGCTGGGTTTTCATTTTCCCTCTTTCATTGAATATTTTCTGTAGTAAGATAAACTTCTGGGCCTGGGAGTTAAGGAGGAAGATGCCCTGGTCCTGACCCTGAGATAGTACCACTGAATGGGGAAAACAAATCTGTAAACTTAGTAGTAATGCACAAAGAATGCGGTAAGTGCTGTAGACACCAGAGAGTGTGTAGGAGTTGGGGAGCCACAACACATATTATTTCTCTGTGAATATATCTCCTGGTTAAAATCCTGAATAATCTGTTCAGTACAACAAAGTTCCAAAAAGAACACTTTCATGAGTTTTTTAAATTCATAGAGTGAAATGTAACAGTTCTGTACCTCTGTTCAATTGAGAAAAGAGGGCTAAGACTACTTACCTATTGCTCAGGAGAATCAAGAATTTTTCACTTTATATTCCCTGTAGGTTTATATTTTTGTAATTATTGAATTAATACCAGTGCAAACTAAAGATTATTCTTTTATTGTCCAACATTACAAAGAAAAATTTCTCCCGAGACTATAACAAGAAGCCTCTTGCCTTCAAAAGCTACTTGGTTGGGTTAAAAAAAATAATAAGAGTAACTTCTTCAAAAAAGTCAGTGAATCCCATATTCTTCAAATAATTGAGTTAAGAATTAAGGTAAAAACTATTAAAGATAATGTACCTATTTTCTGTTAACAAATACTATTCAGCAATTTCATTTTCCGTATTTCTCTGATTTCTTGCAGACAATAGTGAAAAGCTTAGAAATATGACATAATTGAAAACCCCATGGACTAAGGCTCAAGAGACTGGAATTCTGGACACAGTTAATCATTAATTAATTATTGACAAGTTTTTTAAGATCTTTGAGTATTGTCTGTTGGGCAAAAAGTTGAGAGTAGCCTTAGCCAAGCTGGTGATAAGCTTAAACACCATAGCACATAAAGGATCTGTGAGATGCCCCAGGAAATGAGAAGCTTCCAAGGAACATAGTTAGAAAGAAAACCCCAATACATCATTCTGCCTCTAAAAATAAATACACTGTTTTCTTTAAATTGCTAGAGAAGTGAATGAGGCACAGAGTTATAAGAAAAATAAAAATAAGTGTTTTTATCAGAGAAAATTCTACATAGGAAGTAAATAAAATGTCCAGTCACAAATGGAAATATTTTTACTATGCTATTTCTAGATTTTTTAAAAACGTTATATGCATGCATATTTTCTGTGTATTAAAAGCTCATAATAAGCAAGAAAATCCAGTCATTAAGAAAGTTCATGCTTCACTTCTTTTTATTCCTTTGCTTTAAAAGAACTCTCATTAAAAATAAACATTCTGTATCTACACCCAAATGTAGAAAGTTGAACTGAAAAATAACGACACCCTACACAAAGACTTTCTGTATTTTAAAAAATGGCTGAAATTTTTAGGCTATGTTAATTGATAATTGTTTTTGAGTTTCAGATTTAGTCTTGAAATATGTAAAACATTAACTTAGATTTTAGTTTTGGCTGGTTTTTTTTTATTATTATTATACTTTAAGTTTTAGGGTACATGTGCACATTGTGCAGGTTAGTTACATATGTATACATGTGCCATGTTGGTGTGCTGCACTCAGTAACTCGTCATTTAACATTAGGTATATTTCCAAATGCTATCCCTCCCCCCTCCCCCTACCCCACAACAGTCCCCAGTGTGTGATGTTCCCCTTCCTGTGTACATGTGTTCTCATTGTTCAGTTCCCATCTATGAGTGAGAACATGCAGTGTTTGGTTTTTTGTCCTTGCGATAGTTTGCTGAGAATGATGGCTTCCAGCTTCATCCATGTCCCTACAAAGGACATGAACTCATCATTTTTTATGGCTGCATAGTATTCCATGGTGTATATGTGCCACATTTTCTTAATCCAGTCTATCATTGTTGGACATTTGGGTTGGTTCCAAGTCTTTGCTATTGTGAATAGTGCCGCAATAAACATACGTGTGCATGTGTCTTTATAGTGGCATGATTTGTAATCCTTTGGGTATATACCCAGTAATGGGATGACTGGGTCAAATGGTATTTCTAGTTCTAGATCCCTGAGGAATCGCCACACTGACTTCCACAATGGCTGAACTAGTTTACAATCCCATCAACAGTGTAAAAGTGTTCCTATTTCTCCACATCCTCTCCAGCACCTGTTGTTTCCTGACTTTTTAATGATCGCCATTCTAACTGGTGTGAGACAGTATCTCATTGTGGTTTTGATTTGCATTTCTCTGATGGCCAGAGATGATGAGCATTTTTTCATGTGTCTTTTGGCTGCATAAATGTCTTCTTTTGAGAAGTGTCTGTTCATGTCCTTTGCCCACTTTTTGATGGGGTTGTTTGTATTTTTCTTGTAAATTTGTTTGAGTTCATTGTAGATTCTGGATATTAGCCCTTTGTCAGATGAGTAGATTGCAAAAATTTTCTCCCATTCTGTAGGTTGCCTGTTCACTCTGATGGTAGTTTCTTTTGCTGTGCAGAAGCTCTTTAGTTTAATTAGATCTCATTTGTCAATTTTGTCTTTTGTTGCCATTGCTTTTGGTGTTTTAGACATGAAGTCCTTGCCCATGCCTATGTCTTGAATGGTATTGCCTAGGTTTTCTTCTAGGGTTTTTATGGTTTTATGTCGGTTGGTATGTTTTTTAAGTGTTAATGGCAAGTAAATGGCTAGGATAATGAAGGCTAAGGAAATAGCTCACAGTCATACAGCTTGCAAGTGCTAGGGCCCAGATATTTAACCTAAAAATTCAGGCCTACTCATTTTACACCACAGCAGGATCACTGTTGCTACTGATTACATAAGCAAAACATGTATGATTCATTTATTCATTCTGCAGATGTTTGATGAGAGCCTACTGATATGGTTTGGATATTTGTCCCCTTCAAATCTCATGTTAAAATGTAATCCTCAGTGCTGCAGGTGGGGCCTGGTGGGAGGTGTTTGGGTCATGGAGATGGATCCCTTGTGGCTTGGTGTTGTCCTCACTACAGTGAGTGAGTTCTTATGAGATCTGGTTGCTTAGAAGTGTGTGGCACCTTCCCTGCTTTCTCTCTTGCTCCCACGCTGGCCGTGTGAGATGCCTGCTCCTCCCTTGCTTTCTACCATAATTGTAAGCTTCCTGAACCAGAAGCAGATGCCTGTGCCACATTTCTTGTACTGTCGCAGAACCATGAGCCAGTTAAACCTCTTTTCTCTATAAATTACCCAGCCTCAAGTATTTCTTTATAGCATCACAAGAACTGCCTAATACACCGACCCTATGTCAGATACTATTGTGAGTTCTGCAGTACAGCAGTGAACAGGAGACGATTCCAATGGTGTGCTGGTAAATGTTCAACAACTGGCTGGGGAGGAGAAATAATGGGAAAGGGGCCTATTTGCAGTATTTGCACATTTCTGTAACATAAATACTCCGATCATGACAGATTTTAAGTTACCAACTTGGCATCGTTAAACTTTGAGTTGGAAAGTTGTGCATATTCAGCTCTTGTGAGCCTGTGTGAACTGGCCCCAGCAGGACACTGAAAAAAATCTGGTTCATGTGCAAAATGCATTCAAGTGGAGAGAGAGGAGCAAAATTCCAGACCAGCAACATATATAGAACGTTAGATACTGATGTATTATGGAGGCAAGGAAGTTGGGTATGCAGTCAGGTAGTTAGGACTATTTTTAAAAGGATTGTCAGGAAAGATTTGCTTAAAAATGACATTTCAGTGAAGCCCTGAAGATGGTTAAGGAGTGGCCCAAGTGGATAACAGAAGAACATTTTAGGATAGAGGTTTCTAGGGGGCTAGATAATAAAGGCTTGGGGATTTATTATAAGGATTTTAATTTTTGCTGAGTGAGATAGGAAGACATTGAAAGGTCTTTCTCTTTTGTTTTAGTTTTAGTCAAGGAGTGACATGATCTCAATTATTTTTCAAAGACAATTCTTTCTAATGTTTTAAGAGTAAACCACTTGGGGGTGGGCAAAAGTAGAAGCTCTTACAATAATTTAAGCAAGAGATAAGGGTATCTTTCAGGGTGGTAGTGGAGAAATAGTGAGAATCAGTGAGATTCCAGTTATGTTTTAATTATAGAGTCAACAGAATTTGCTGACAGCTTGAATATGGAGTGTGACCCAAAAGATGATTCCAAGGATTTTATTATAAGTGGAAGAGTGAAGTTATCAGTTACTGAACTGGAGTAGACAATGGGAAGAGTAATTTTAGAGGATAGATGAGGTGTTGCTTTGGAATGCGTACAGTCTGATATGCCTATTTGACATCTAAGTGGAGATGTAGAACAGACAGTTGAATATGAGTCCAGTTCCAGGAAAATGTTTGGGTTGGAGATAAAACTGTGTGATATTCATGATAATGATAATATTTAAAGCACTGGGACTCAGTGGGAGCACTAGAAAGTGAGTATAAATTTATTTAAAATTTAATCATCTATTTAACAAACACATGTGCCAGTACTGCTCTCAGTGCTTTGCAAGTATAAACTCATTTAATTCTCATAACAAGCCTAAAATATAGGTATTATTATTTCCTCCTTTTATAAATAAAGAAACTGAAGCACATAGAGATCAAGTAACTTGCCCAAGGTCACAAGTAAATGGCTAATAAGGGATAGAAATGGAATTTCTAACCAAGGCTGTCTAGCACTGGAGTTCTTATTAGAGAAGTTGTCTAATGGCCTGAGACTTCAGAAACTGCAACAATTACAGTTTAGGGAGATGAGAGAGATCAGTAAATCTTATTCATTGCAGGCAACACATTTTACTTTCTCATAGAAAATCTATGCTCAAGGAAAGTACATACAGTAGTTACAGAAAGCATATGCAAAAACAATGTTTTGTTTCCTTTTATGCTTTTCTATATTTTCTATAATAAGCAAATATTAATTCTAGAATCAGGAAAGATTGCATTAAAATAAAGCAAAAGAGTTATTTTAAAAATCTTGTTTCAATGATTCATGTCATTCTTTATTTAAAACACAGCTCAAAGAGAAGGTGCAATGATAATCATGCTGAAAAACTGAAGGGAAGCTCTCTGCTTAAGTATGAATAAGGTAACATACAATTTTTTGCCAAAACTAGAACAATTCTTGAGAGTAAAAGAAAGCACTGTCAATTATATATGACAACAGGGTTAAGTTAGAACTGTTTTAAAAATACTTGAAGTTTATGTAGGTGCCCTAGGGAGCCTTCTCCTTAAAGATAGGGTTTGCATGAATACAAAGAAGTCAACTCTTATCTAGTCCATGCACACTAACAAACGTTGTTGCCACCTTCTTACTTTCCCTTCTAGGTTAAGTATACCATTGTTTGTCATTATTGTTGGTTAACATTTTTACTATTATAAGTACTGGTTAGAATTAGGCATCAGAAAAAAAACTGACTACCACCTGTATATTATTATAGTGGGTTTAGAGATACTCTATTTCAGGCTAATCAGTTCGTATGATGAGAAATAATAATACAGTAGTCTCCCCTTATATTCAGAGAATACATTTTAAGACCCCCAGTGGATGCCTGAAACCACAGATAGCACTGAACCCTATACATATATACCTATGATAAAGTTTAATTTATAAGTTAGGCACAGTAAGATATTAACAACAATAACTAATATAAAATAGAACAATTAAGTAAAATAAAAGTTACTTGAACACGAGCACTGTGATACCACAACAGTCAATCTGATAACAGAGATGGTTGTTACGTAATTCACTGGCAGGTGGCATTATATGGACGTGCTGCACAACCTAAGTGGGATGGAGCAAGATGGCACAAGATTTCTTCACACTACTCAGAACAGCGTGCAATCTAAAACTCATGAGTTGTTATTTCTGGAATTTTCAATTTAATATTTTGAGGACCACAGTTAACAGTAGGTGACTGAAACTGTGGAAACCGAAACCACAGATAAGGGGGGACTACTGTAAAGAATGAAACTATTTTTATGGTTAAAGACCCATTTCAAGGATTTGAAAAGAAATACTAAAATCTTTAAGTGTAAATATAATCAAAGAAGAAATCACTTTATAATAAAACTTGAAAAAATTACCTTTATTCCCATTCTAACTTAAATGAATTAGAAACTAAACACCTATTCACTTCCATTTCCTAAACTACTTTTTTAAAAACTTATACTTTAAGTTCTGCGATACATGTGCAGAACATGAAGGTTTGTTACATAGGTATACATGTGCCATGGTGGTTTGCTGCACCCATCAATCTGTCATCTACATTAGGTGTTTCTCCTAATTCTATCCCTCTCGACATGCCCTGGTGTGTGATGTTCCCCTCCCTGTGCCCATGTGTTCTCATTGTTCAGCTCCCACATGTGAGTGAGAACATGGGATGTTTGGCTTTCTGTTCCTGTTAGTTTGCTAAGAATGATGGTTTCCAGCTTCATCCATGTCCCTGCAAAGGACATGAACTCATCCTTTTTATGGCTGCGTAGTATTCCATGGTGTGTATGTGGCATATTTTCTTTATCTAGTCTATTACTGATGGGCATTTGGTTTGGTTGCAAGTCTTGCTATTGTGAACAGTGCCACTATAAACATACCTGTGCATTTGTCTTTATAGTTGAATGATTAGAATCCTTTGGATATATACCCAGTAATGGGATTGCTGGGTCAAATGGTGTTTCTGGTTCTAGATCCTTGAGGAATCACCACACTGTCTTCCACAATGGTTGAACTAATTTACACTCCCACCAACAGTGTAAAAGCTTTCCTATTCCTCCACATCCTCTCCAGCATCTGTTGTTTCCTGACTTTTTAATGCTCACCATTCTAACTGGCATGAGATGTTATCTCATTGTGGTTTTGATTTGCATTTCTCCAATGACCAGTGATGAAGAGCTTTTTTTCATATGTTTGTTGTCTGCATAAATGTCTTCTTTTGAGAAGTGACTGTTCATATCATTTGCCCATTTTTTGATGGGGTTGTTTGTTATTTTCTCATAAATTTAAGTTCTTTATAGATTCTGGACTTTAGCCCTTTGTCAGATGGATACATTGCAAAAATGTTCCCCCATTCTGTGGGTTGCCTGTTCACTCTGGTAATAATTTCTTTTGCTGTGCAGAAGCTCTTTAGTTTAACTAGATCCCATTTGTCAATTTTGGCTTTTGTTGCCATTGCTTTTGGTGTTTTAGTCATGAAGTCTTTGCCCATGCCTATGTCCTGAATGATATTACCTAGGTTTTCTTCCACGGTTTTTACGGTTTTTATGGTTTTAGGTCTTACGTTTAAGTCTTTAATCCATCTTGAGTTAATCTTTGTATAAGGTGTAAGGAAAGGGTCCAGTTTCAGTTTTCTGCATATGGCTAGCCAGTTTTCCCAACACCATTTATTAAATAGGGAATCCTTTCCCCATGGCTTATTTTTGTTGAAGATCAGATGGTTGTAGATTTGGGGCATTATTTCTGAGGCCTCTGTTCTGTTCCATTGGTCTATGTATTTGTTTTGGTACCAGCACCATGCTGTTTTGGTTACTGTAGCCTTGTAATATAGTTTGAAGTCAGGTAGCATGATGCCTCCAGTGTTGTTCTTTTTGCTTAGGATTGTCTTGGCTTTATGGGCTCTTTTTTGGTTCCATATGAAATTTAAAGTAGTTTTTTCTAATTCTGTGAAGAATGTCAAAGGTAGTTTGATGGGAATAGCATTGAATCTATAAATTACTTTAGGCAGTATGGCCATTTTCACAATATTGATTCTTCCTATCCATGAGCATGGTATGTTTTGTTTTTCCATTTATTTGTGTCCTCTCTTATTTCCTTCAGCCATGTTTTGTAGTTCTCCTTGAAGAGGTCATTCGCATCCCTTTTAATTGTATTCCTAGGTATTTTATTCTCTTTGTAGCAGTTGTGAATGGGAGTTCACTCATGATTTGGCTCTCTGTTTGTCTATTATTGGTATATAGAAATGCTTGTGATATTTGCAAATTGACTTTGTATCTTGAGACTTTGCTGAAGTTGCTTATCAGATTAAGGAGATTTTGGACTGAGATGATGAGGTTTTCTAAATATACAATCATGTCATCTGCAAACAGAGAAAATTTGACTTCTTCTCTTCTTATTTGAATACGCTTTATTTCATTCTCTTGCCTGATTGCCCCAGTCAGAACTTCCAATACTCTGTTGAATAGGAGTGGTGAGAGAGGGCACCTTGTCTTCTGCTGGTTTTCTAAGGGAATTATTCCAGCTTTTCCCATTCAGTATGATACTGGCTGTGGAACTGTCATAAATAGCTCTTATTATTTTGAGATACGTTCCATCAGTGCCTAGTTTATTGAGAGTTTTTAGCATGAATGGGTGTTGAATTTTATCGAAGGCCTTTTCTGCATCTATTGAGATAAACATGTGGTTTTTGTCATTGGTTCTGTTTCTGTGATGGATTACATTTATTGATTTGCATATGCTGAAACACCCTTGCATCCCAGGGATGAAGCCAACTTGGTCAAGGTAGATAAGCTTTTTGATGTGCTGCTGGATTTGGTTTGTCAGTATTTTATTGAGGATTTTTACATTGATGTTCATCAGGGATACTGCCCTGAAATTTTCTTTTTACGCTGTGTCTCTGCCAGGTTTTGGTATCAGTATGATGCTGGCCTCATAAAATGAGTAAGGAAGGAGTCCCTCTTTTTCTATTGTCTGGAATAGTTTCAGAAGGAATGATACCAGCTCTTCTGTACCTCCAGTAGAATTCAGCTGTGAATCTGTCTGGTCCTGGGCTTTTTTTGGTTGGTAGGCTATTAATTACTGCCTCAATTTCAGCACTTGTTATTGGTCTATTCAGGGATTTAACTTCTTCCTGGTTTAGTCTTGGGAGGGTGTATGTGTCCAGGAATTTAACCATTTTTTCTAGATTTTCAAGTTTATTTGCATAGAGGTGTTTATAGTATTCTCTGACGGTAGTCTGTATTTCTGTGGGATCAGTGGTGATATCCCCTTCTTCATTTTTTATTGTGTCTATTTGATTCTTCTTTCTTTTCCTCTTTATTAGTCTGGCTAGCAGTCTATCTATTTTGTTAACCTTTTCAAAAAAACCAGCTCCTGGATTCTGTGATTTTTTGAAGGGTTTTTTGTGTATCTATCCTTCAGTTCTGCTCTGATCTTAGTTATTTCTTGTCCTCTGCTATCTTTTGAAATTGTTTACTCTTGCTTCTCTAGTTCTTTTAATTATTATGTTAGGATGTTGATTTTAGATCTTTTTCACTTTCTCCTGTGGGCATTTAGTGCTATAAATTTCCCTCTAACCACTGCTTTAGCTGTCTCCCAGAGATTCTGGTATATTGTGTCTTTGTTCTCCTCAATTTCAAATAACTGATTTATTTCTGCCTTAATTTTGTTATTTACCCAGTAGTCATTTAGGAGCAGGTTGTTCAGTATCTATGTAGTTCTGTGGTTTTGAGTAAGTTTTTAAATCCTGCATTCTAATTTCATTGCACTGTGGTCTGAAAGACTGTTTGTTATGATTTCCATTCTTTTGCATTTGCTGAGGAGTGTTTTACTTCCAATTATGTGGTCAATTTTAGAATAAATGCTATGTGGTGTTGAGAAGAATGTATATTCTGCTGATTTGGGGTAGAAAGTTCTGTAGATGTCTATTAGGTCCACTTGGTCCAGAGCTGCATTCAAGTCCTGAATATCCTTGTTAATTTTCTGCCTCGTTGATCTGTCTAATATTGACAATGGGGTGTTAAATTCTCCCACTATTATTGTGTGAGAGTCTAAGTCTCCTTGTAGGTCTCTAAGAACTTGCCTTATGAATCCAGGTGCTCCTGTATTGGGTGCATATAAATTTAAGAGAGTTAGCTCTTCTTGTTGCATTGACCCCTTTACCTTTATGTAATGCCTTTCTTTGTCTTTTTTGATCTTTATCAGAGACTAGGATTACAACCCGTGCTTTTTTTTTTTTTTTTTTTTTTTTTTTTTTTTTTTTTTTGCTTTCCATTTGTTTAGTAACTATTCCTCCATCCCATTATTTTGAGCCTATATGTGTCTTTGCATGTGAGATGGGTATCCTGAATACAGCACACCGACGGGTCTTGACTCTATCCAATTTTAACTCAATCCAATTTGCCAGTCTGTGTCTTTTGATTGGGGCATTTAGCCCATTTACCTTTAAGGTTAATATTGTTATGTGTGAATTTGATCCTGTCATTATGATGTCAGCTGGTTATTTTGCCCATTAGTTGATGCAGTTTCTTCATAGTGTCGATGGTCTTTACAATTTGGGATGTTTTTTCAGTGGCTGGTACCAACTGTTCCTTTCCGTATTTAGTGCTCCCTTCAGGAGCTCTTGTAAGGCAGGCCTGGTGGTGACAGAATCTCTCAGCATTTGCTTGTCTGTAAAGAATTTTATTTCTCCTTCACTTATGAAGCTTAATTTGGCTGGATATGAAATTCTGGGTTGAAAATTCTTTTCTTTAAGAATGTCGAATATTGCCCCCCACTCTCTTCTGGCTTGTAGGGTTTCTGCAGAGATATTTGCTGTTAGTCTGATCGGCTTCCCTTTATGGGTAACCCAACCTTTCTCTCTGGCTGCCCTTACCATTTTTTCCTTCATTTTAACCTTGGTGAACCTGATGATTATATATCTTGGGGTTGGTCTTCTCAAGGAGTATCTTTGTGGTGTTTTCTGTATTTCCTGGATATGAATGTTGGCCTCTCTTGCTAGGTTGGGGAAGTTCTCCTGGATAATATCCTAAAGAGTGTTTTTCAACTTGGTTCCATTCTCCCTGTTACTTTCAGGTACATCAATCAAACATAGGTTTGGTCTTTTCACATAGTCCTATATTTCTTGGAGGCTTTGTTCATTCTTTTTCATTCTTTTTTCTCTAATCTTGTCTTCACACTTTATTTCATTAAGTTGATCTTCAATCTCTGATATCCTTTCTTCCGCTTGATGGATTTGGCTATTGATACTTGTGTATGCTTCACGAAGTTCTCACGCTGTGTGTTTCAGCTCCATCAGGTCATTTATGTTCTTCTCTAAACTGGTTATTCTAGTTAGGAATTCCTTTAACCTTTTTTCAAGGTTCTTAACTTCCTTGCATTGAGTTAGAACATGCTCCTTTAGCTTGGGGGAGTTTGTTTTTACCCACCTTCTGAAGCCTACTTCTGTCAATTCGTCAAACTCATTCTCCATCCAGCTTTGTTCCCTTGCTGGCGAGGAGTTGTGATCCTTTGGAGGAGAAGAGGCATTCTGGCTTTTGGAATTTTCAGCCTTTTTGTGCTGGTTTTTCCTCATCTTTGTGGATTTATCTACCTTTGGTTTTTGATGCTGATGACCTTCAGATGGGGTTTTTGTGTGAATGTCCTTTTTGTTGATGTTGATGCTATTCCTTTCTGTTTGTTAGTTTTCCTTCTAACAGGCCCCTCTGCTGCAGCTCTGCTGGAGTTTGCTGGGGGTCCACTCCAGATCCTGTTTGCCTGAGTAACACCAGCAGAGACTGCAGAATAGCAAAGATTGCATCTGTTCCTTCCTCTGGAAGCTTTTTTCAGAGGGGCACCTGCCAGATGCCAGCTGGAGCTCTCCTGTATGAGGTGTCTGTCGACCCTTGCTGGGAGGTGTGGGGTCAGGGACCCACTTGAGGAGATAGTCTGTCCCTTAGCAGAGCTTGATTGCTGTGCTGGGAGATCTGCTGCTCCCTTCAGAGCTGGCAGGCAGGAACATTTAAGTCTGCTGAAGCTGTGCCCACAGCTGCCCCTTCACCCAGGTACTCTGTCCCAGGGAGATAGGAGTTTCATCTATAAGTCGCTGACTAAGGCTGCTGCCTTTCTTTCAGAGATGCCCTGCCCAGACAGGCAGAATCTAGAGAGGCAGTCTGGCTACACTGGCTTTGCTGAGCTGTGGTGGCCTCTGCCCAGTTCGAACTTTCCAGCATCTTTGTTTACACTGTGAGGGGAAAACCGTCTACTCAAGCCTCAGTAATGGCAGACGCCCCTCCCCCCAACCAAGCTTGAGCATCCCAGGTCGACTTCATACTGCTGTGCTGTCAGTGAGAATTTTCAAGCCAGTGGATCTTAGCTTGCTGGGCTCCATGGGGGTGGGATCCCCTAAGCTAGACCACTTGGCTCCCTGGCTTCAGCCCCCTTTCCAGGGGGGGTGAATGGTTCTGTCTCGCTGGTGTTCCAGGCACCACTGGGGTATGAAAAGAATCTCTTGTAGCTAGCTTGGTGTCTGCCCAAACGGCCGCCCATTTTGTGCTTGAAACCCAGGACCCTTGCGGTGTAGACACCTGAGGGAACCTGCAGGTTGCGAAGACCATCGAAAAAGTGTAGCATCTGCGCCAGAGTGCACCATTCCTCATGGCACAGTTCCTCATGGCTTCCCTTGGCTAGGAGAGGGAGTTCCCTGACCCCTTGCACTTCCTGGGTGAGGCGACACCCCACCCTGCTTCAGCTCACCCTCTGTGGGCTGCACCCACTCTCTAACCTTTCCCAGTGAGATGAACC